>NC_000010.11:464545-616060 GCF_000001405.40 Homo sapiens
GTTCAACCATTGTGGAAGAGTGTGGTGATTCCTCAAGGATCTAGAACCAGAAATACCATTTGATCAAGCAATCCCATTACTGGGTATACACCCAAAGGATTATAAATCATGATACTATAAAGACACATACAAACGTATGTTTATTGCAGCACTGTTCACAATAGCAAAAACTCGGATCCAACCCAAATGCCCATCAATGATAGACTGGATAAAGAAAATGTGGCTAAACTAGAAAATCTAGAAGAAATGGATACATTCCTCGACACATACTCTCTCCCAAGACTAAACCAGGAAGAAGTTGAATCTCTGAATAGACCAATAACAGGATCTGAAATTGTGGCAATAATCAATAGTTTACCAACCAAAAAGAGTCCAGGACCAGATGGATTCACAGCCGAATTCTACCAGAGGTACAAGGAGGAACTGGTACCATTCCTTCTCAAACTATTCCAATCAATAGAAAAAGAGGGAATCCTCCCTAACTCATTTTATGAGGCCAGCATCATTCTGATACCAAAGCCAGGCAGAGACACAACCAAAAAAGAGAATTTTAGACCAATATCCTTGATGAACATTGATGCAAAAATCCTCAATAAAATACTGGCAAACCGAATCCAGCAGCACATCAAAAAGCTTATCCACCATGATCAAGTGGGCTTCATCCCTGGGATGCAAGGCTGGTTCAATATACTCAAATCAATAAATGTAATCCAGCATATAAACAGAGCCAAAGACAAAAACCACATGATTATCTCAATAGATGCAGAAAAAGCCTTTGACAAAATTCAACAACCCTTCATGCTAAAAACTCTCAATAAATTAGGTATTGATGGGACATATTTCAAAATAATAAGAGCTATCTATGACAAACCCACAGCCAATATCATACTGAATGGGCATAAACTGGAAGCATTCCCTTTGAAAACTGGCACGACACAGGGATGCCCTCTCTCACCACTCCTATTCAACATAGTGTTGGAAGTTCTGGCCAGGGCAATCAGGCAGGAGAAGGAAACAAAGGGTATTCAATTAGGAAAAGAGGAAGTCAAATTGTCCCTGTTTGCAGACAACATGATTGTTTATCTAGAAAACCCCATTGTCTCAGCCCAAAATCTCCTTAAGCTGATAAGCAACTTCAGCAAAGTCTCAGGATACAAAATCAATGTACAAAAATCACAAGCATTCTTATACACCAACAGCAGACAAACAGAGAGCCAAATCATGAGTGAACTCCCATTCACAATTGCTTCAAAGAGAATAAAATACCTAGGAATCCAACTTACAAGGGATGTGAAGGACCTCTTCAAGGAGAACTACAAACCACTGCTCAAGGAAATAAAAGAGGATACAAACAAATGGAAGAACATTCCATGCTCTTGGGTAGGAAGAATCAATATCGTGAAAATGGCCATACTGCCCAAGGTGATTTACAGATTCAATGACATCCCCATCAAGCTACCAATGACTTTCTTCACAGAATTGGAAAAAACTACTTTAAAGTTCATATGGAACCAAAAAAGAGCCCGCATCACCAAGTCAATCCTAAGCCAAAAGAACAAAGCTGGAGGCATCACACTACCTGACTTCAAACTTTACTACAAAGCTACAGTAACCAAAACAGCATGGTACTGGTACCAAAACAGAGATATAGATCAATGGAACAGAACAGAGCCTGCAGAAATAATGCCACATACCTACAACTATCTGATCTTTGACAAACCTGAGAAAAACAAGCAATGGGGAAAGGATTCCCTATTTAATAAATGGTGCTGGGAAAACTGGCTAGCCATATGTAGAAAGCTGAAACTGGATCCCTTCCTTACACCTTATACAAAAATCAATTCAAGATGGATTAAAGACTTAAACGTTAGACCTAAAACCATAAAAACCCTAGAAGAAAACCTAGGCATTACCATTCAGGACATAGGCGTGGGCAAGGACTTCATGTCCAAAACACCAAAAGCAATGGCAACAAAAGACAAAATTGACAAATGGGATCTGATTAAACTAAAGAGCTTCTGCACAGCAAAAGAAACTACCATCAGAGTGAACAAGCAACCTATAACATGGGAGAAAATTTTCACAACCTACTCATCTGACAAAGGGCTAATATCCAGAATCTACAATGAACTCAAACAAATTTACAAGAAAAAAACAACCCCATCAAAAAGTGGGCAAAGGACATGAACAGACACTTCTCAAAAGACATTTATGCAGCCAAAAAACACATGAAAAAATGCTCATCATCACTGGCCGTCAGAGAAATGCAAATCAAAACCACTATGAGATATCATCGCACACCAGTTAGAATGGCAATCATTAAAAAGTCAGGAAACAACAGGTGCTGGAGAGGATGTGGAGAAATAGGAACACTTTTACACTGTTGGTGGGACTGTCAACTAGTTCAACCATTGTGGAAGTCAGTGTGGCGATTCCTCAGGGATCTAGAACTAGAAATACCATTTGACCCAGCCATCCCATTACTGGGTATATACCCAAATGACTATAAATCATGCTGCTATAAAGACACATGCACACGTATGTTTATTGCGGCATTACTCACAATAGCAAAGACTTAGAACCAACCCAAATGTCCAACAATGATAGACTGGATTAAGAAAATGTGGCACATATACACCATGGAATACTATGCAGCCATAAAATGATGAGTTCATGTCCTTTGTAGGGACATGGATGAAATTGGACACCATCATTCTCAGTAAACTATCGCAAAAACGAAAAACCAAACACCACATATTCTCACTCATAGGTGGGAATTGAACAATGAGATCACATGGACACAGGAAGGGGAATATCACACTCTGGGGACTGTGGTGGGGTGGGGGGAGGTGGGAGGGATAGCATTGGGAGATATACCTAATGCTAGATGACGAGTTAGTGGGTGCAGCGCACCAGCATGGCATATGTATACATATGTAACTAACCTGCACAATGTGCACATGTACCCTAAAACTTAAAGTATAAAAAAAAAATAAATAAAATAAAAATTATTTAAGTGTAAAAAAAAAAAAAAAAGAAAATGTGGCATATATATACCATGGAATAGTATGCAGCCATAAAAAACGGGTAAATTCATGTCCTTTGCAGGGACATGGATGAAGCTGGAAGCCATCATTCTCAGTCAACTAACACCAGAACAGAAAACTAAACACCACTTGTTCTCACTCATAAATGGGAGTTGAACAATGAGAACACATGGACACAGGGAGGGGAACATCACACACTAGGGCCTGTTGGGTGCTGGAGGACTACAGGAGGGATAGCATTAGGAGAAATACCTAATGTAGGTGATGGGTTGATGGGTGCAGCAAAGCACCATGGCACATGTATACGTATGTAACAAACCTGCATGTTCTGCACATGTACTCCAGAACTTAAAGTATAATAAAAAATATATATAAATTAAAAAATTCAGTCCCTGGGGCAACCACAGTAGCTCTACTGCAAGATGAGTGGTCACAGACCTCGAGCTGCCAAGTCTCCCTAGAAGCCACAGCCCTTTCCTTGTGAATGATTCCAGTCTTCGCGGTCGGTTCAGGAGAAAGAAAAAAGCAGACAGAAAATTGTGAAATCTGTCTATTGGTAATAAACTAACATAAGCTCCTCTTATCTCACACCTTATTGTTAAAACCACGTGAGCATATACTCTAAGTAAATTATAGTATATCTAAATTTAGAGAACTCACAACTAGATTCCTGTAACAGCAAGAAACAGCAAAGAATAAGGAAACCCAGTAATGACCCCATGCCCCTCCTGCTTTCCTGAAGGGTGGCTGCCATGACACATAAAGGGGAGTTGCTCTGTGTTGGCTACAGAAAATGAGAACCCCACCTGAGACTTCACAGGCAATGCAAAGGTCATGGGGTGCGCTCCATATGCCAATCAGTCATTATTGATTAAAACAAAGATGAGACCAGGTGCAGTGGCTCACACCTGTAATCCCAGCACGTTGGGAGGCCAAGGCAGGTGGATCACTTGAGGTCGGGAGTTCTAGACCAGCCTGACCAACATGGAGAAACCCTGTTTCTACTAAAAATACAAAATTAGCAAGGCATGGTGGCGCATGCCTGTAATCCCAGCTACTTGAGAGGCCGAGGCAGGAGAATCGCTTGAACCCACGAGGCAGAGTTTGTGGCGTGACCTGTGTCACACCACAGAGATCACACCATTGCACTCCAGCCTGGGCAACAAGAGTGAAACTCCATCTCAAAAACAAACAAAAAAAGATGAGTACCCAACTTTTAAAAACTACAACGGCATCCATGGAGTAATAGTGCTTTCCATTATATCTCAAATAAATGACACTTCAAGGACTGTCTTCCTAATCGTTCATAGTATCTTCTACACAGTAAGGCAAATTCTACCACCTGTAACCTATACACAGTAAGCTTGATTCCCTAAAGAGAAGGAGCTGTGGAATTGGAGACCATCATCTGTGCAGGTGCATGAGCTGACACCTTGGTGTCACCCTGGGTGCAGAATTGGAGACCATCATCTGTGCAGGTGCATAACTAGGACATCTCGGATTCACCCTGGGAGCAGAATTGGAGACCATTATCTGTGCAGGTGCATAAGCTGGACATCTCGGAGTCACTCTGGGTGCAGAATCGGAGACTATCCTCTGTGCAGGTGCATAACTAGGACATCAAGGTCACCCTGATTTCCTCTCATGTTCCTCCATATTAACCCAACCTTCAGGTCCTATTGCTATTATCTTTTGAGCATTTCTCAAATCTCACTGGTACTGATTTTTTTTTTTTTTTTTTTGAGACACAGTCTCACTCTGTCGCCGAGGCTGGAGTGCAGTGGTATGATCTCAGGTCACGGCAACCTCCACCTCCCGGGTTCAAGAGATTCTCCCACCTCAGCCTCTGGAATAGCTGGGATTACAGGCATGCACCACCATGCCTGGCTAATTTTTGTATTTTTCATAGAGATGGGGTTTCGCCATGTTGGCCACACTGGTCTTGAACTCCTGAACTCAAGTGATCTGCCCGCCTCGGCCTCCCAAAGTGCTGGGACTACAGGCATGAGCCACAGCACCCAGCCCTGACAGATATCTCTTAAGTACACATCAGTTTCAGGCATTCAGGGTTGTTTGGACTCCCCCACTTTCAGCCCATGCTCCATGCTGCTGCTAAAGTGATCTTCAAACCCTGACTGGCCCCCACTGTCCCTTCACCTAAAATATTCTAGTGGATCCCATCATCTTCAGGATCAAGTCCAAATTCCCGAGCGTGATGCACAAGATGCTATAACCCAGCCGCTCCTACCTAACTTCTTGCCGTTCCCCAAATGTGTCACACTCCCTCATCTTCCTTCAAAATATAGAAGCCAGGCAGTATTTCAGGTGCTTGGCCTACACGAATGAACAGAACAGAGATCCTGGCCTGTGTGGACCTCGTATTCTTATGGAAGAAAGTGAGAGGTGGGGAGGTGGATGGTGGAAGAATGGCTGAGTAGTGGGGTAAATGGATGAAATGTTTGATAGATGGACGGATGGTGGACGTAAATGGATGCTTGATAGGTAAGTAGATGATTGGCGAATATGTAGACAGATGCAGAGAGGTTGATAAATGGATGGATGATTGACAGGTAGGTAAATAACGAATACACAGACATGCAGATAGACAGAGTATCATGTGGTTATAATGGCGATGGAGACATGAGTCAGGATGGGGAACGGGAGAGATTGTGTGTGAAGAGGCGCCATATTTCACAATTTTACAAAAACAGGAGAAATGAACCGTGCTTCTCACGTTGGGTCTAGCTTCCCCTCCAGAGCAGAGCCTGCAGACTCTGAGCTGAAGTGTCGGTCTCCTCCACCCATCCTGCCACTCTCAGCCACCCCCTCTGCCATGTGCCTCTCTCTTCCACACCTTCCTGCCTTTGAAGAGGTGAGGTAAGGTGCACGGATGAACAGAAAACGCACCCCAAGCCAAGAGATAACCATCTCCTACTACACCCACCTCTCTCAGGCTTTTATCAAGAGAGAAGACCGTGAGACAACCACAACCCGCCATGCTTATCTCGTGGAGTAGCTGGGATTGTGAAGATGGCATGATCCGAAGGTAAACACAGGGTTTATCAACACCCCTGCAGCATCGTGGAGAGAGAGAGAATGTAGGAAACACGCAGTGGCGACTGACGCGGATCTCCTGTGTGGTAAGATGGCCGGCCAAAGATGGGCTTGCATCCTCCTGCGAGGAGCGACCCCGTGTGATCGTCAGCCATTGGACAGCCTCCCTGAACTTCAGTTTCCTCATCTATAAAATGGAAGATAGACCCCCACTGGCCTCTGTGAGAACTGAAGCCATGTGAACTCAGCCTGCGTGCATGTCTGGGTGTGTTGTGTGTTCACAGACAGGGTGTCTGCATGGCAGCACTGACACACAGTGAGGGAAGCGTTGGTCACAGGCTGACAGTACGCAGGTGCCTCCACACTCCTGAACTCGACAGGGGCCTCCGAGACACCCACATGAGTAAGAGAAGGTCTCAATATGTGTCGGGGCTTAAGACAGGTGTGAAACAACAGAGGGTGGATTTGGGAACAAATTCTCCTTCATTCCATCCGCACACATTTTCCTGGGTCACAGCCTCCTTGGAGAAGGCAGCAGGGGCGCCCAGGAGGTGGCACCAGCTTTTCATTCAGGCTCTCAGGTGTGTCCTCTTTTGCATGGGTGACACTCTCTGAGGCCATAAAATCTCCTCTCCAGAAAGAGGAGCAGAGCCAGGAGGCCAGGCAGACGGCAACTGAGGATGCAGAAGCAGCTAATCACATGAGCCTGCATGGACAGAGAGATTCATTACAGCACGACTGACACTCACAGGCTTCCTCGACCACCAGGTGAGTTCCGAGACTCACAGGCTTTCCTCGAACACCAGGTGAGTTCCGTCATCCCTTAGCCTCACTTTTTTCTTCTGACACAGAAGACAACAGTCACGACTTCACCTGCTTATCATGAAAGCTCCATGTGAGAACAATGTGAGGATGCCAGTGAAGGGCATTTGCAAAACAAAGGGATTCACGAATCGGGTCCATCACCAGCGATCGCCCCTACCCTCACCGGTGCCCTGGGAACTACAAAAGAATTCACAGGTAATTTTCTTTTAAAGAAGCAACTTTAACCTACATGTTGGAAAAACTCTCTCAGAATAATTCAAACATTAATCACAGCCTGAGTTTTTGTTGTTGTTGTTTTTGAGATGGAGTTTTGCTCTGTTGCCCAGGCTGGAGTGCAGTGGCGTGATCTCGGCTCACTGCAACCTCCGCCTCCCAGGTTCAAGCATTTCTCCTGCCTCAGCCTGATGAGTAGCTAGGACTACAGGTGCCCACCACCACGCCCGACAGCCTAAGTTTTCTGTTGCTAAATTAATGAAATTTCAGCTGGCCAAGCCCAGGTGGCACTGGCAACTCAGTCTCCAGACAACCCTGTGCAGACGGCATCATAAAACACAGATGAAAGACAGGAAACACATAACAATGTATGGTTTTCATTTCTGTTTAGAAAAGTAGACCTAGAAAACAAATCACTGATGGTAAGAAAAAGAAAAAACTATACTAGCAACCACGATTAAAAAGTTATTTAACAGTGACACCTAAAAAAGAAAAATTTGGCACGAGATTATAATCTTTTTAATTAATATGCAATTCTGAATAGTAGCCAACATGGGCTTGTAAACCACGTGAAGAGCTATTTACCGGACACTGGCGTCTCCCGAGAGGGTGTGTCCGTGCAGAAAGCTGGAGGCCCCTCGCGTGCTGCAGGTCCACGCCCACTGCACTTCTGCCTCGCCCAGTGGCTGGGCACAGGCACCGTCCTGGCACAGGTGGCAGATGGACGTATTGTATCACCCCACCCCGTGCTTACCTGACCGATAGCGCTCATCTCGTGACCCTGAAGACCGTCGGCGGTGGTAGCGAGAGGCGGAGGAAGGAGTGACAGGAGCCCGGCGTTCTTGCGGCAAAGCTTGGTCCACCCCTGGATTTCAATAAAAACAGCAGAGTGAGGTGTGACTGTACTCAGCGGAGTCAGCAGACTCTAACAAATCATGCCCTCCATCCCCACAGCAAAGCCAGAGCTACCCACGGGACTGGGCATGGCGGCGCCTCAGAGCCCACAGACAGGAGGGCCAGGACTGAGGAGGAAGCTCTCCCACCGCCAGGGAGACCCCTCCTGGCTAGACGCCGCCACGGTCCCTTTCACAGCACAAAGGTCCACTGACAGGCAGGGAGAGACACAAACTCAGCCACAGGTGGCAACTGAATTCCTGGGAGTCAGGATTAGAGCAACAGGGCCCAAGACATAGACTCAAGTTATGACCTTTTAATGTAATAAATATACAGAATGAGCTGTATAAGCTCTTAAGAAAATTTAAAAGTATATTTGTTATTAAAGTAATTGTTAAAATAAATCTTAGATAATAATTTAACAATATAATTCAGGTAACCAGGACATACCATGAACGTCCAGCTTTGCTCATTCCAGATTACTCTCTGGAAACTTACTCCATTGGATGCCAAGTGTTTTAACAGATTATGTTCGACTATGAATCACAATTACTTGGTGAATAACAAAAAACATTAATGCGGTCAGATAAAAACGGTTTAATGGTATTGGTCAAAACATTGATGTGAATCCACCTGTCACATATTGATTACATTCAGGCAATAACAGGGTGGCAAGGAACACAACTAGACAAAACTAAGCCCCCAAAGGAAGGACATCATCATCACAGTTCCACGAAGAACTACTCTGACACCACGGGAACAATATCACCCCACAGTTCCATGAACAGCTCTGATACCACAGAAAGGACATCATCCTATGTCATCCCCACAGTTCCGTGAACGGCTCTGATACCACAGAAAGGACGTCATCCTATGTCATCCCCACAGTTCTGTGAACGGCTCTGATATCACAGAAAGGACGTCACCCCCACAGCTCCGTGAACGGCTCTGATACCACAGGAAGGACGTCATCCTATGTCATCCCCACAGTTCTGTGAACGGCTCTGATACCACAGAAAGGACGTCATCCTACGCCGTCCCCACAGCTCCGTGAACGGCTCTGATACCACAGGAAGGACGTCATCCTACGTCGTCCCCACAGTTCCATGAAGAACTGCTCTAAGAGTGAGCACCAATCACTAATAGATGCTTCTTCAGAAATGGATCAGTAATATCTGATTGAAAGTAAACCAGAAATAAAAGTTTTAAGTTAACAAAAGAAATATTTAGTCCCTGGTTTTCCATGATGGGCTCTTATGAGAGTTGTAGAGTCTGTGGACTTCATATTCCTTACTCTGGTGGTTTCTGAACATCAGCTTTTGATGGTGCGTGTGTGGGTCTCATGTATCAGGCTGGCGAATTCAGAACTAAGTTAAGCATGGCTCCTACACCGTCATTTTGCTAAGTTTCATGTGCTTTTCTTTCAGGGCATCCAAATCACCATCAGTTCCTGAGGACTGAACTGTCTGCTGCTCCAACCTCTTCCAGTCATCATCTACAACTGATCTTTTAAAAATGATCTTCAATTACCTTTTTATCAAACAGATGCATTTTAGGAAATCAAAGAGTATTATCAAGTCTCACATGAAAAACAGTAGCTACCTGGCACTTACATTCATAAACATGGACTTACCACATGACTTCCTGAATTGTCCTTTTTAGACACCACCCCTTACGCCACTGTGGTCATCAACATCAGCGTCCGCAGTGTGCTACAAATACCGTTCTATCTTACGCTTTTCAATGATTCTGGAGTTAATATTTTATCTATTTTCCACTATCTTGGCTTACAATGTACCTATTGCCAATCCTTTCACAATTCTCCAGCAGAACTGAAAAACTCTTTCCCATACCTTCCTGCCCACGATCAAACACTGACAACCTGGTGAGAATCTGTTCAATTTTCCTGGAAGTCCTCTTGGAGCCCCCGCCCCAGTCCCAAACGTGCTACCGTCACTGGGCCACGCCTTTCTTCCCGCTGGCTGTGGCTGCTGTGTTGGTCACTTGTTCTCATGCTCTTCAATGCCCCCTCGTCTCTCCACACTCCCGTGCTAAAGGAGCACCTTGAATGTTTCAGAAAGGAAGAACCAGAAGGAACACTTGGGGGCCCCACACATCCGAAAGTGCTTCTCTTTCTACCCCAGTGAGACCGAGTCTTTCGCCTAGATACGGACTTCTGGGTGAAAATTACTTTTATTCATTGCCTTTCATTTCCATTATTGGTGAGAAGTTAAACTTCACTCTGATGCTATAATCCTTATGTAATACCCATTCCTTTCTCTTCTCCTTCAATAATCTTTTATTCATTCCCACTGGAGGAGCTGCAAGCCAGGTTGTAATATCCATTCCTTTCTTTTCTCCCTCGATAATCTTTTTGCTGCAAATCAGGTTTTTCTTCTCACGGGGGCACACCACCAAATCTCTCCCCAAGGAAGGCTTCAACGGGGCTGTTTCGTTTGCCCGAAGAGCCCTCTCCTCTCCTGTTTCCAACACAGGCATGTTCACCCTCTAACCTGGAGCCTCTGTTGTCAGTATCATCCCCAAATCTGGAGCCTCCCAGTTTAATTTCTCCAGATAACACACATGGCTGGGAGGAGGAGGAAAAGCGGCCGCCTGCTTCCTGGACACCGTTCTCTGGGCTCCATGTGTACAGCACCCATGGCTGTCCGCCGTGTCTGCATCTTGGCTTTCTCCATTTTGCTAAATGATGAACCACAAATTTCTCTAACTTCTCTTGTGCTGTGGACTTATATAGTCACTGACAGCACAGTTGGGAGAAACAGATAAAGGCACACTTCCAAGTTGCCAAGCGTATCCAGTGGCCTGACGTTTTTAATGTTTCACCTTCAATCTCAGTACCACACCTATCTGGTCCACTCAAACAGGCTTCCTGTGATTACCTCCAACCCTAACCTCCTCTTGGTGCCCATGGACGATGGTGCACGGAGTTCCAGGCTGCTGCTCGGCTTCTCACAGACCTTACATGTCTGATCTCAGAAAGCTACTTTTGCATACCATCCTCGTGAATATCTCCTAAGTGGAAATGTAAAGTTTGCAACAAAAGTCTGAAAACAAATGAATAAAATAGAAGAACTAGCTTCTACAGGTTGCAATAAGACGGCAAAAGAAACGAGTATGAATGTACATGTTTCCTTCATTCATTTTCCTTTGATGTCATTCCAAACGAGGCTGCAAGTGGCTTAACGATATGTTCCTGGAAGAAAAAAGCCACAAATAGGCGTCGCTCAACTGGATTCCAGCCTGTGACCGCACAGGGCCCAGGGGCAGCAGAGGGGCATACCCACTGTCCCCGTCACAGGGAAACCAAGCATGGCTGCTGGAACAGATACCTCTGGGTAGCACAAACATGAACAATCACTAAGACGCATGACTGCAGCATACCGCTCTGCGCTGCTGAGGGCTCACGTTCACAGTCACGTTCAGTTTGGGGAACTGTGATTGAAAACCAGCTCTCAGGAGCATCACAGGAAGACTAGAAGCCTTATGACAGAAGGCGTGGTCAGGGGAGAGAGGCCGGCATGGTCCCTGGGAAGGAGGTATCCCCAGGGAGATGGGGTGGCTGCCTTCACACACTCAAGAGTCTGGAGAACAAAGAGCAAGGTCTCTTGAGGCAAGAAAACGGCCGAGATGGAGATGAGGTTCTCCTCCCAGGAGCACCTGCTCAGCTATCATGCATTGGCCACGTGAGGCACCAGCTCAGATCCGGTCCTCCGGGGACGGGAGATCCCATGCCTGCGGTCGTGGCCCCAATCCGTCTGGCTCCTGTCATTCTGTGGGATCCTAGGCAAGTTTGTGAACTTTCCTAGGCTCAGCCTCCTGCCTCTGGACAGAAGCAGCAGTAGCTAACACTGCAGCCCTGGCCTAAGCATTTGATGCGTCACTCATTCCTCAGCACAAAAAGCACCAAGCCAGGACTATTACTTCTGCTGTTTTCTTGACAAGGAAATGCAGGTGCAGAAGTGATCCATGAGTGCGAGCGGCCCGGTGTCACCCTTGTGCGGTGTCTGAACATTCTCCCGTGACTGCCTTTTCATTTGCAATGGGGGCCCCTCTCCCAGGCCCCTCCACACCCTCTCCTGAGAGCAGAGGCTGTCATTCTCCTGGTACCTGCAGTGGTGTCCAGAGCCTCAATCTCTGTTACAAGAACAAAATCTGGCTTGTTTTGAAAACAGGAAGAAGCATTTTTGGAATCCCATTATGAAAATTAAGAAAACACGGAAACTGCTAAAATTTCAGATCCAAGAATGAATCTTGGAGCAAGGAAAAGCTATCAAGGTCGCCCGAAAGGGGCATCTGTTGGGATCCTGGAGAAGCAGGCAGGAGGTGACCTTGCTCTCGGTGGAGCTGGCCACAGGATGGGCTCGGGAAATAATTCTGAACCCTCAGGGCTCCCACAGAGGGCTGGAACATTTCCATTTAAATCCAAACGTCAGTGACATTTTTACTTTCCTCTAGAATTACAGCAAGACCACAAATAAAACTTGAGCACAGACAGCAGGAGATACAAGGTACACAGAAGGAAAAGAAGGCAGTGAGGCCAGCACAGGAAGAAGGAAAAGGTCAAAGAAACAGGCTTAGCAAAGTCAGCAAAGAATAGACAAATGGATGGAAACACACACAGGAAGAATGGAGGAACGAATGGAGAAAAGAATGGATGGATAGGAGGTAGAGAAGGAAGGGAAGGAAGAGACGGGAGGAAGGTGGATGGATAGGAGAGAGGAGAGGGAGGGGGAGGGAGGGGAGGGAGGGGAGGAAGGTGGATGGGGAGGAAGGTGGATGGGGAGGAAGGTGGATGGGGAGGAAGGTGGATGGGGAGGAAGGTGGATGGGGGGAGGCAGGGGGAGGAAGGTGGATGGGTGGGAGGTGGGAGGTGGGGAGGAAGGTGGATGGGTGGGAGGTGGGAGGTGGGGAGGAAGGTGGATGGGTGGGAGATATGAGGGGAGGAAGGGGGAAAGGAAGGTAGATGGGTGGAAGGTGCATAGGTGGGAGATGGGGAGGGAGGAAGGTGGATGGGTGGGAGGAAGGTGGATGGGTGGGAGGAAGAGAAGAAAAATAGATGAACAGGAAGTGGTGAATAGATAGGAGGAAAGCGGAGAAAAGGAAAGAATAAAGGAGAGAGAAGAAAGAGAAGGAAAGAAAGAACGAGAAAGAAAAGGAGAGAGAAGAAAAAGGAAAAGAAGGAGAGAGAAAGAAGGGAAGGAAGGAAAGAGAAGGAAAACAAGAGAGAAGGAGAAGGGAGAAAGAAAAAAGGAGAAGTGAAGGAAGCAGAGAGAAGAAAACGAGAGAGAAGAAAAGGAAAAGAGAGGGAAAGAAAAGACAGGAAAAGAGAGGGAAAGAAGGAAGGAAAAGAAGGAAAGAAAAGAGAAGGAAGGGAACAGAAAGTAGAAGAGAAGATAGAAGAGGAAAAAAGAGGGGAGGGGAGGGGAGGGGAGGGGAAAAGGAGAGAGGGGAAGGGAGGGGAGGGGAAAAGAAGGGAGGGGAGGGGAGGGGAGGGGAGAAGAAGGGAGGGGAGGGGAGAAGAAGGGAGGGGAGGGGAGAAGAGGGGAGGGGAGGGGAGAAGAAGGGAGGGGAGGGGAGGGGAGGGGAGAAGAAGGGAGGGGAGAAGAAGGGAGGAGAGGGGAGGGGAGGGGAGAAGAAGGGAAGGGAGGGGAGGGGAGGGGAGAAGAAGGGAAGGGAGGGGAGGGGAGGGGAGAAGAAGGGAGGGGAGGGGAGGGGAGAAGAAGGGAGGGGAGGGGAGAAGAAGGGAGGGGAGGGGAGGGGAGAAGAAGGGAGGGGAGGGGAGGGGGGGAGGGGAGGGGCAGACGGGGAGGGCATGCTGGGGGTACAGACACACCCCAATTCCCATCTTTTTCTCACTCATCTCATGTCCGGGCATGCCGGGGGTGCAGATGCACCCAAATTCCCATCTTATTCTCACTCATCCAGTGTCCAGGCATGCTGGGGGTGTAGACACATCCAAATTCCTGTCTTATTCCCACTCATCCCGTGTCCGGGCGTGCTGGGGCTGCAGACACATCCAAATTCCCATCTTATTCTCAACTCATCCCGTGTCTGGGCATGCTAGGGGTGTAGACACATCCAAGTTCCCGTCTTATTCTCACTCATCTCGTGTCCGGGCGTGCTGGGGGTGTAGACACATCCAAATTCCCGTCTTATTCTCACTCATCGCGTGTCCAGGCGTGCAGATACATCCAAATTCCCATCTTATTCTCACTCATCGCGTGTCCGGGCGTGCTGGGGGTGCAGATAGCAACGTCTCTATGGCTCACCTTAGCTCCCAGAGAAGATAGGGGGAGGAAGAGAGGGGTAGGGAGGGAGGAGGAGAGGAGGGCCAAGAGGCTCTCCTGCCCTCCTTCCCCAGCACCCAGGGGCAAGCGCTCTGGGCTCCACAGAGGCCTCCACAGGAGTGTCCTGCAGGAGAAGCCTGCTCTGGGCCCTTAGTGAAACTGCCGGGGATTTTTCTGTATTTTCAGGTCTGTCCCAGAGCAGTTTCTAAATCCAGTCCCATTCTCTCCAGGTCTCAATTACATGCTCTTGTTCACATCGTAAAACTTTCTAAAATAAGTGCAATCAAGGACTTTGCCAGAAAGCAAACAGGACAACTGTTGTAAACACTGGTAAGAAATTTAATAATTTTCCTTGTATTCACTGGGATGGGAACATCATACAATGGTAAGACTGAAATTCCATTCTAAGCACCTGCCCTAACCCCATGAATTCTCACACTGCTTTTTTTTTTTTTTTTTTTTTTTTAAGATGGAGTCTTGTTCTGTTGCCAGGCTGGAGAGCAATGGCGCAATCTCCACTCACTGCAACATCTGCCTCCCAGGTTCAAGTGATTCTTCTACCTCAGCGTCCCGAGGAGCTGGAATTACAGGCACCCATCACGATGCCTGGCTAATTTTTAATATTTTTTAGTAGAGATGGGGTTTCAACATGTTAGCCAGGCTGATCTTGAACTCTTGACCTCATGATTTGTCCGCCTCAGCCTCCCAAAGTGCTGGAATTATAGGCATGAGCCAATGCGCCCGTCCCCACACTGTCCTCCTTTCTATCCATCTTTCATGAGCCCAAATCTTTGCCACACATCAGTATATATTTGCTTAGCAACCCTTTTCCTATTATAATGTTTTAACTTGATTAGGGACTCATACACTGGAAATTGTCAGTGATCCAGGGACGGGAGAGTCTGACGTCTGCATCTCATCCGCCAGCCTGAGCTCCAGTCGACGCTCACTGGATGAGGGTTCTCATCCGGCAGCCTGAGAGCCGGTTCACGCTCACTGGATGAGTGTCATCCGCCAGCCTGAGCTCCGGTCCATGCTCACTGGATGAGTCTCACCCGCCAGCCTGAGCCCCGGTCCATGCTCACTGGATGAGTCTCACCCGCCAGCCTGAGCTCCAGTCGACGCTCACTGGATGAGGGTTCTCATCCGGCAGCCTGAGACCCGGTTCACGCTCACTGGATGAGTGTCATCCGCCAGCCTGAGCTCCGGTCCACGCTCACTGGATGAGTCTCACCCGCCAGCCTGAGCCCCGGTCCATACTCACTGGATGAGTCTCACCCGCCAGCCTGAGCCCCGGTCCATGCTCACTGGATGAGGGTCTCATCCACCAGCCTGAGCTCCGGTCCATGCTCACTGGATGAGGGTCTCATCCACCAGCCTGAGCTCCGGGGTCCATGCTCACTGGATAAGACTCATCCACCAGCCTGAGCTCCGGTCCATGCTCACTGGATGAGGGTCTCATCCACCAGCCTGAGCTCCGGTCCATGCTCACTGGATAAGACTCATCCACCAGCCTGAGCCCCAGTCCACGCTCACTGGATGAGTCTCACCCGCCAGCCTGAGCCCTGGTCCATGCTCACTGGATGACGGTCTCATCTACCAGCCCGAGCTCCAGTCCACGCTCCTTGGATGAGATGCCAATCTCACCATCAGGACCGGGCCTTCACGTTTCTGCACTTTGCTTACACCTCGGATTTTTCACAAAACCCACGTGAGCAGTTCCAAAGTGGGTGCTACCCTCCCCACTGGAGACACACCGCATGGCGTAGGCTCAGCTGCACTCCCTCCATAGCGGCTGGCGCCTAAGACGAGGAATGCGATTCATTAAATGTTGCTGAAAAGACCAGGAAATAAACGTACGGGATCAAACTGACAGCTCCCTGTGGCAGAACACGTCTCCGGCAGCTAAGCGTGGTACCCTGTGAAGTGCCGACGGGAGCACGGCTGATCTGGAACACAGGTGATTCACCTGTCACTACAGCAACGCGGTCTAGAAAGATTCACGCTATGTCACAGGCAATGCCATCTGGACACCCACGTTTCCCCTCCTCTGGGATTTAAGTTTAAAACACCCTTACCCTGTGAGCTGCCACATGGCCTGAGACCCTAAGTGGAGGCAACCTGCCCGGGACAGGTCCCCGGGACCCTCCAGCCCAGGTGAGGAGGCGGTCCCTCCCCAGCACGTCTAGGAAGCGCTGCCTTGGGGTCACCAGACTGTAACTCTCATGGCACAACAAGAATACGGACCCACTGCGCACCTGCCCCGGGAAAGCACAGCCTCTGCTGACACGAGGAATCAGAACAACCAACGGCCAGCCCAGGTGAACAGGCCAGGGCCAGCCAGCCACGTCTTCTAAAGACGACAGAACAAAATGGCATTTACGTACTTAAGAAACTTTCTCATTCCGTATGTAACCAAAGTGCAAAATTCACAAATGCCAACTGCAGGGACCTCCTCCCTCACAACTGTCAAAGCCCAGTGGGAGAATCTGCAACGGGACCTCAGAGGAAGCCCTCTCCGTGGCGACAGGGCAAGGCAGCCACTGCAAGCAACAGCACTCAGGCCAGAGCAGCTGTTCTCATGAGAACATGTGATCCAGTCACAGGATCAAACACTGGGATGGGAGCCAAGTTCTGAAAAGATAATAAAATTCCACTGATTGGATGGTGCTGAGGTACATGTTACCCTCTGTCATTTCAGTCATTAATTAGCCCTTACATGTTACCATCTGCCATTTAAATTTACCCAAATCAAGAATAAAAATAAAACTGCAGCCCAGATAGACACCTGAGGCAGTGGAAGGTCTCCGGTGCCTGTTCAGGGCTTCACGTGGATCTGAGCATCATGCGGACACGGTGGCGTCTGCCCTCAGGGACACTGCACATCCATCCTCGTACCACGGTAGGGACGGTCACTCAGTGGGGCGGGGGGAAGTGAGGGCTGCCCCGGCCCACCCCCACAGGCAGACTCAGCCCCTCCGTGCCGCACCCACACATCCATACAGCAAATACCTGCCCAATGTCCACTTTCCGTGAGCAGGCAGCCGGGGCCTCAGGTGATTTACATACTGCTGCTGGGGGTTGGGGTGGAGACTTAGCGTTTAGTAACCACCACCCAACTATGACAGTGGTATTTCAGAGACAGGACGACATGGAGATGGGAATCCGGATGGTCTGACTGAAGGATCAGGGGAGAAATCCCTCAGGACAGAGCATCCAAACTGAGCTTTAAATGCCACCTGGACACGGCCAAGTGCACGGCCTGAGCAGAGTTCCTCATGTGGATGCAGCGGCATGGCTGTCGGGAGGGACAGCGGCGTGGCCATCGGGAGCCCTGGTAGCAGGGAGGAACTGAGACAAGTCCGTATTTGTGATTTGACTCAACAGTTGGACAGCACAGTGCAAGCCTGCAGGCCAGAGGCCTCCGGTGCAGACAGTGTAGAGCTTAACTCACACTGACCATGGGAGGCCTCTTCCTGGAGAGGCTGCTCACGCGACCCCATGATGGAAAAAGTGTGGGGCTTAACTCACACTGACCACGGATACCTCTTCCCTGGAGAGGCCGCTCACGTGACCTCATGGAGAGAGGCTGTGCCGCACAGACAAACCCCCTTACAGAGTCCTTGTAACTTGCACCTGGGCATCAAGCTGTCCGGCTATTGAAGGAAAAGCAAGCTGGGCTTGGAGAGGAATACCAGATCTTCATAAATCACTCAATACCAAGAAACATTTCACAGACAAACACATAAGAAGTTGCTGTGAGAAAGAGGAGCTGTATCTGAGCAAAGAAGGTTCCACCATTTATAGCCACACTGAAATTTTACTCTCTAAATCTCCACGGCCTGTGTCATACAAGCAGTGAGGCCTTGTTATCCAAGTCGACACTGTTATTAAGATCTCTCTGAAGAGGCTGCCAGGCAGTGGATTTTATTTCCTAGGTTTACAACTTTGACTGGGCTTAGAGACTGATGAGGGATGGGTTTGAACCGCAGAAGGGTGAGAGCGAAGTGGGCAGCTTCCCTAAGCAGCGTCTTCTCCCTGAAGATGATCTTCCAGGCACCCTCTCTGACCCTTCTTTCACTGCATGTATAACTCACATTTCTTCCTGGCTCCGGACAGTCTTTTCCTCAACTAGATTTAGGCAGGTGCTCAGCACCAACGCTCACTTCTGAATCCCGACTGGAGGCCCCGACAGACGCTGCCCTCCTGAGCAGCTGGGACGTGCCTGGCTGGCCTAGGGAACAGAACCCCCATTGTAGCTCGTAATTCTGCATCCCAAACAACATCCTAGAAACACTTTTAGAATAGTTTCTGGAGGAATAGGAATGTAAATGTTAGGAAAAAAGGGTGGAAGTTAATCAGAACACAAACCCCTTACAGGCAAGTGCGCAGCAGCACAGGGGAACAAGAAAGAAAGATGTTTTCCACGAAGATCCTGCACAAAGGAAGTCACGTCCCATGGGGCCAACCAAGAAAGCAGCCTCGGCTTTGGAAACGTCTGCGTTCCTTGCTGCTTCCCAGGACAGCTGCACATGGTGCACACTTGCGTGTCACAAGCAACGTCTCCAAATGAAGGTCGGCAGGGAAACAGCCTCGCTGGGGCCCTAGCACCGCTGTCCGGAGTCCCCCCATCCTGAGTCTGGTGTCTGGGCCTCAATCAGGCGGCCCGGGCCGTCCTTCTCCTGTTTTCCTCACGTTTCCGGCAGATAAATTCTGAAATGGACCTCGTGGCTAAAACCCAGCCCTGTCGCCTTCTCATCAGCTCTGCCCCTTGCTCCTGAGAGGGTGCGAGGGAATCAGCCCAGAGAGGGCTCCTGAGAGGGCCCAGAGAGGAGGAACGCAGTGGAGGCCAGGAGGCGAGGCGGGGTGTCCTCTTCTGAGACCCCAGTGGCCAACTGTAATAATAAAGTTTGCCTCTATGACTTCATTTTACCAATTTTTTTTTTTTGAGACAGGGTCTCGCTCTGTCCCCCAGGCTGGAACACAGTGCCACAATCATAGCTCACTGCAGCCTTGACTTCTTGGATTCAAGCAATCCTCCTGCTTCAGCCTCCCATATAGCTGGGATCACAGGCACCCACCATCATGCCTAATTTTTTCTTTTGTAGAGACGGGGACTCCCTTTGTTGCCCAGGCTGGTCTGAAACACCTGGACCTAAGCAATCCCCTTCCTCAGCCTCCCCAAGTGCTGGGATCACAGGCGTGAGCCACCACCCCCGGCCTTGTATGTGATTTTAAAACACATTTTGAAGTGTAACCCTGAACACGAACCTAAAACTTCCACCTGCATATGATTTTCTTCATTCTGGTGGAAAATGCACTGAACTCCCTTTTTGCATCATGAAATTCCTGTATTCAAAATACTGTCCGCCAAAGTAATTCTTACCTTTGAACAGAATCCTTACCTCTAAGAACATACTCTATGATTAACTGCTTTTTCTATTTCAAAAACCCTTACTTTGCTCTTTGGAGATGGAAATCTCAAAATCACTCCTTCTAGCAGATCTCAGAGGCCAAGACCCATCAGCTCATCCTTTAATTGGGTCTTTGGCTATAAGATGAAAGTCTGTAGAATACCAGTGGCTTTAAGAAGTTTTATAATTTGTCACGCATTCTTCTTAAGTGTTTTCTAAGTGGTGCCCAACTGAGAAAGGGGAATTGTAAAAGCAACGTTCTACTTCAATAGGAAACGCAGAACTGGGCCCTGATTCACAGGGACAGACCTGGTCTCTGGCGAGCTCTGGGCCTGTGGAGCGACCTGGCTCACTGGAGAATGGGACCCTCAGGCCCCCAAGGCCACACCCTACACGTCTGTACGGGATGGCACTCGGCGGGTGGCCCTTTTCTAATGTGTACCCTGCTGTGGGGCTGGCTCTCAGCAAAGCAGCGCTCACCGAAACGAAAGTAAAACAGAGGCCGGTTCCCTGCGGTGCTGGCCACCCGCTCCCGAGCCGCAGCTTCTCGGACGTCGCACACCCCGATGTGGGCAGAGCGGAATGTTCTCCTCGGCGCTCCTTCACTGTGCTGCAGTCTACACCGAACCACGGCAGCTCCATTCGCTGCTGTAACAAGTTGAAAAAAAACTAATTAATTCAAACTTTAGTTTTTTTTAAATTTGTTACAGCGCTGAGCAGAGCTGCCGACCCCATGCAGGACAGCACACAGACCACCAAGGGGACCACAGGGCACGACCGCCCTCTGCGCCCGGCTAAGGCCAGGGCCACCGCGGGAGGCACGGTGCGCTGGAGAACCGTCCTGGCAAGCGAGGAACCGCTTCTGTTTCACTTTTGTTTGGCAAGGCAAGAAAGTTAAAACCAACAGCGTCCGTGGCCTACAGTCAGACCCCACCTTCTGCAGCACATGAGGGCACCTGCAGAGGGGAACTCACAGGGACAGGGCGGGGGCAGCTGTCGCCCCATGGCTCTGCGAGAAGAGAATGAGGGAGGGGGCGCAGGCCATCAGGGGATCTACCCAGCACTGCCCTGAAGCCTCTCGCCCCAGCATTCCAGCCCAGCCCTCTGCTCCCCTTCTCTCGGGTTCCTCGGCGTCTATCCCTGACTTAAGCCTCTGCTAAGCAAGGTCCACAGAAACATGTTCACTGTTACATCACTGTCTCAAAAATCAAGGCAAGAAAAACACGAAATGAAAACAAAACTACCAATAGCAGAATCTCCACACCGTTTCCTGCAGCCTGAGCCTCAGGAAACTTTCCTTACTGAGTCAACAGGACCCGGACGGGCCTCGGGAAGAACAGAATCGGGGTTTGTGCAGGTGTGGACATGTGCATCCTTAAACCTTCTAAAATCTTCTTTCAATGGTAAGAACTATGCAAGTTCAATTTCCACCTTTAAAATTTATGTTGCTAGCCTTTATGTTTGAGGAAGAAACTGCTTGTGTTAGCTTTAAGCCATTCCTCAAGCCTACCAAATTTTCAAGGTCGCTCTTGGGCTGAATTGAGCTTGCCAGCTGGGAACTGAGGTGCTAGAATCCCCATCTAATATGAGATTCTTTTTCCTGACATTTACAGAACCCAGCTCAAGTGCAGGAAAGCTGCCAATCTGCACACGTAGAAACGCTGGCGGGAAACCGACTGCCCTTCTCAAGAATCATCATGGATGTTTGCAACCACATCTCAACACACAACCAGCTTTCACGATTGCCAAGTCCTGGGCGGGGTATCACAGCACTGTCTAGATTTGGCCTGTGCCACCAACAGAAGCCTTGGATTAAACCAGAATCAATAGTAATAAATAGCTCTCTAAACCAAATATGTTGAAATCACTAATGCACTCATATTTTTACGATTATAGCATTTTAAAGTAACCAACCCAATACCGATCTCTACTTATAGAGAAAACACCTATTAGGCACACTTATAGAAAAATCCTCTGTGCCTTGTATATTCACACAGCACGTGTGATCACTCAAAGGAACTGAATGCCTGGAGGGTGAACGCCAGACGCCTCCTCCTGCCGACTGGGAAGCAAGGGAGCGTCTGCCTCCAGATGTTTCTCTGGCACATAGTGAATGCGGGAAATGAGAGGACTCATGCTACTCATGGGGGTTACCTACTCGGAGGCTGCGGAAGGTAGGCTCCAATTAACTTTGACCTCTTCTTTTCATATCCTTTTTGTGTGATGTCACCTGCAAGAGAAGGAAAATGAAGTTCAGTATGGTCTCCGTGGATAGAGCATTATCATTCAACGGTGCCCAAGAAGACACAGTTATCACAGTATCTTCTGTGTGCCTCATTGTTAGAATTTTAAAAGCAAGCACTGCACATCAAACAACTTCAGTTCCTCCCCTGCTCTCGAACAAAAGCCCACAGCATGTAAGTCACTAAAACTCATTTGTTAAACACACGCCTGTTTCTGGCCCCTTCTGTATTTATCCGGATGGGGTCCAGGGTTAGACCCCTGCCATCTCATCCCCACCCGCTGGCACAGGAAGCCAAGCCTGGTGGCCGGGGCTCTCGTTAACTCAGTCAACGACAGATCCTGCAGCTGCCAGGGCCGGGATGGCCGACACCAGCACCTATTGGCATCTTCTTCATTAACAAGATGTTTTCTAACCAAGCAGGTCGGTCACAAGGACTTGAAGCCGCCACAGTGTTTTTGAAAAAGGAGTGACAAAGGCTAAGGGAAGAAGCAAAAGGTGTGAAACCTGCAGAAATCCAGAAGACAAGAGAAAGGTGCTTGTGGTGAGGCAAGAATCCACATGTTAAAGCTCACAGACAGCCACGGACGCGCAGCAGCCATGCCTTTCCTGGAGCCAGCGCAAGCACACAGGACAAAGCCACCTCATCGACACACAGAGGCCCTTCCCATTCACAAGCTCCAGCACACACAGAATACTCATTCGCTGTTCATTTTTTTGGATCTGTTGTATTGTTTTCTAAGACTGATCAAACCATAATTCCAAGAAGAGTGAAAAATTCAAGCTTTAACAAAAATATAGCAAATGAATGAAAAGTTATCAAGGTACACACACAAGCTGGTCAACTCACTTTTCCTAGTGAAAGGCGGGCAGTCTCGGATGCTGCCTCTGCCTCCACGGCTGCCTCCACCAACTCACAGCTCATGATACAGGTTCTCGTCTCCCCCACGGAACACAAGGCTGACGTCTCAACACGGAGCCAAGAACCAAATGACACGGAACCCGCATCCGCCCATCAATGAGTGTTTTTTTTTTTTTTTTTTTTTTTTTTTTTTGAGACAGTCTCTCTCTGTCGCCCAGGCTGGAGTGCAGTGGCGTGATCTCAGCTCACTGCAAGCTCCGCCTCCTGGGTTCACACCATTCTCCTACCTCAGCCTCCCGAGTAGCTGAGACTACAGGCGCTGGCCACCACGCCCGGCTAATTTTTTGTATTTTTAGTAGAGACAGGGTTTCACCATGTTAGCCAGGATGATCTCCATCTCCTGACCTCATGATCTGCCACTTCAGCCTCCCAAAGTGCTGAGATTACAGGCGTGAGCCACCGTGCCCAGCCGATGCTAACTAGGTAGCTGGCCACTGACAACAAAGGACAATTTCTGCAGAAATGTTAAAGCTTGCCGGGCACTCCACACCGGCAGCCATCAGCTGCCCACTACGGAGACGCTCAGTTGCTTTTGGAAATGCCTTGTTAACCCGTTTTACAAACAATGTCCAAAATCTGAACCACAGAAGCAGCCACATGTGCACGTGCTTGATTTAAATCGAGCCCCCAGTCAATCAGCAAAGAAAATTTCCAGACAAGACTTTAATAAATCCTAGGTTACTATCATCTCTCAAAACCTAGGAGGTGGGAAAGGGTGGCAGCACTGAGTAACTTCCATGCCCCGCATTTTCCCCCAAACCAGGGTCTGGGAACTAAGTCTCGAGGCTGAGCCCAGCTTCCAGGCCACTTCTGGAGACACGCTCTGTGCTCACGGCCTGCTCCTTGCCGAGCTGCAAGGCAAGACAGTTCAGTGCAGCTCTTCACAGGAGGGTTTGCTGGCCCATCCCCAAAGATGAAAGTGTTTAATCCTTATAAGAACTTATTTTACAGATGAGAATTTGAGGCACAAATGGTACTCACGTTCCTCACCCAGGACCACAAATCTAAGACAAAACTCTGTCCAGCTCCAAAACCATGTCCCATGAAAACCACACCTAGAGTCTTCCACTCTAAAGCTGGTGTGGTGCCCAGAGGCCGCAGCCCTGGCTTCCTGGGCTTTCCTCGCATGTTCACGCCCCGTACATCCTCCTGACTCCATAACCTGCCTGGGAAGTGCCCTTCTCCGAAGGAAACGGGACTCTACTTCCTGCTTTGCCCTCTCCCAGCCCCTGCCCTGCATGGATGACGCCTCTGGGTACCCACGGCATAAATCACACGCTGTAGCTTGCGTGATGTCGTGGATGACTGTTCATGGTTTATTTGTAACACACATGCACAGTTATCCTTAAAACCAGACAATGTCCCATAGAACTGTGCCCCAACCCAGTTGTCTTACAAACTGAAGCCAGGGTGCTCCTGCGTGTACCACATGTACCACACACACAGACGTCTGTGCCTGACGCAGAGAGACCTGCAGGTAAGTGACTGGCTGGGAGTGCGCTGAAGACCTGGGCAGACGCGGGGTGATCATTTACCTGTTCAGTTACTGGGGGGCGGGCAAAGGGGAAACTTACGATGATTCTATCCCAAAATGCAGAAGACGACGGCTTGATGTGCATGCTACCCCAAAGCCGAAGCGCTGGATGCCACGGCCCTGAGACCAGGCTCACTCAGGCCCCAAAGCTCATGGCTCACAAACTCCTGCTACGTTTTCATGGAAAAAGTCCAGTTATTTTTAACTCTGGACTGCCTCAGCATCTGGTAGACAGAGGTCCACCAGATTCCCATGATAGACTCGCTGCAGGTTTACATGAGCAAACCTTCTAGCAGCACTTTTACATGCCGTCCTTTATTTTGAAGAACCAATGTTTCCCGTGCGAATACAATCAGGTCATAGGTGACAGGTAGATAATAGATGATGCATATAGACAGACGACAGAGATGATGGACAGATGGCAGGTGGTGGGAGGTGAGAGACTGACAGGCAGAAGCTAGCTGGCTGACTACACAGTATCCTCCCTGAACAGCTTCTTGGGTTGGGCCCAAGGCCTGACCTTCAATCAATGCCACGCTGTCACTAGGGAGACGGTGGCTCTGACAGTGCCTGGTGCTTCCTCCATTTCACACTAGGGACACAGTGGCTCTGACAGAGCCTGGTGCTTCCTCCATTTCACACTAGGGACACGGTGGCTCTGACGGTGCCCGGGGCTTCCTCCACTTCACACTAGGGACACGGTGGCTCTGACGGTGCCCGGGGCTTCCTCCACTTCACACTAGGGACACGGTGGCTCTGACGGTGCCCGGGGCTTCCTCCACTTCACACTAGGGACACGGTGGCTCTGACGGTGCCCGGGGCTTCCTCCACCTTCACACTAGGGACACGGTGGCTCTGACAGTGCCCGGGGCTTCCTCCATTTCACACCAGGGACATGGTGGCTCTGACGGTGCCTGGTCCTTCCTCCATTTCACACCAGGGACACGGTGGCTCTGACAGTGCCCGAGCCTTCCTCCATTTCACACCAGGGACACGGTGGCTCTGACGGTGCCTGGGGCTTCCTCCACCTTCACACTAGGGACACGGTGGCTCTGACAGTGCCCGGGGCTTCCTCCATTTCACACCAGGGACATGGTGGCTCTGACGGTGCCTGGTCCTTCCTCCATTTCACACCAGGGACACGGTGGCTCTGACAGTGCCCGAGCCTTCCTCCATTTCACACCAGGGACACGGTGGCTCTGACGGTGCCTGGGGCTTCCTCCATTTCACATTGGTTCAGGCTGAATGATCAATTAATTCCTGCCTCTCTTCTCTCCCTCTCACCTTGCGTCCATCAGGGCATGTGGTCATCAGCATGCAGCTACGTAAACTAAAGGCGCAAATGCTCCGAAAGAGGGCACATCCTTCCCCACGTTTCTAAGCTGGGGCCATCACGTGTCTGTTATCCCGCTAGGCGTATCCACTGCTCACAGCCTGCTTGTTCATATTTCCCCAAACCTGGAAGCGATGGGAACGTCATCCAAGGCTATTTCGAAAGTCAACTCCCGTCTCCGGGGAGGCCCTCCGGGAGGCTGGGTCTAAGGCACACCCTCAAGGCTGCTGTCAGAGAATGTGAACCACAGGAGCCCCTGCCAGAGCGCTTTCCACGTAAAATTCCAAACAGCATATTTTCCTGCTTCCACATCAAGGTACCCATTTATTTAATTTCCTTTTCACTTTATGACAGAAAAGTAAATGCAGTAATTGTAACCTCAGTGAGAAAAATAAGTGATCTCTTTAGAAACATTTTCTACTTCATTAAAAAAACGCCACTTATGTTATTCTCAGAGACTTTCCGTAAGAATTAAAATTTCAGAAGCAGAAATTAAAATCACAAAGAGGAGAGATTTACACACAAGTCCTACTTTGGAAGTGAAAACCCCAGTGAGGCAAAGTCACCAGCAGAAGGTCGAATGAGACTGAGGGATGATGCTTCTTTCCCTCCCTGAAGGGAACAATTCTTTTTCTCACTTATGTTGCAATCCAGAGTTTCAGGGCAAAACCCAATCTTACAAAAGCAGGGAAAGGTCTGCCTGGCAAACGCAGGGTTAAGATGACAGAACAGACAGACACCCGGCCCTTGTGGCTTCCTCTCGGCCTCAGGCACGCACCAGCCAATCTGGCCCAACTGGAACCAGTGCAGAGCCAGTGCTGTGAACGTCAGGCTCAAGACACGGACACTTGGGAGCCGCGTGACCCTAGGGGATGAAAGAAACGGGCCACAGAGCTGCTTCCACAGCGTGGCTCAGCTCCAAGCACACAGACCCACTCGGCAGTGGCGGTTTCCATGTGCAGTGTCAGGAGACTATTTAATGCTGGAATTAATAGTTTATATAACAAAGCAATCGTTTCCATGTTGGGAATTCTACGGCTGTCAGGAGCCCTGGTGCTGCTGCTCTGAGCCTATTGCTTTATAAGGAGCCAGGAGGCCCCGGAAGGCAAGGCCGCAGCCTCGTTTTTAAATCTCCGATAGGCTTCTTCGTTCTCCAGCAGGCGCTGCAGACCGGTGACAGCTCCTGTGTGTACCCCTCGCCTGCACTGGGGACAGGGGCAGGAGGACCTGGGATGTCCTCTCACCCCAGCAAGCTGAGCACAGCAGGGTCCCCCATGGGCCAGCTAACTAGTGTGGGTCGCATTTTTCTCATGGATAAAATATTGGAGATAGCACCTATCTACTTGCTGCCGCAGATGGAGAGATCAAACACACAGGATGTGAAGGTCTCAAAGCACTAAGGACACAAGAAAATCTTTAAAAAAAGTTCAACAAGCATTCATTCAGTATCTATTTCACATTCAATTCATGAGAGACGTCCAAGTTGATGGGAGGACTCATGAACACAGACCTGCTGTGCACCCTGCAGGGCCACAGGTATCGCCCCGTCAGGGGAGGGAGGCAAAGAAGATGGACCACAGAAAACCAGGGGCTAGGAAGAAGCTCAGAATCCTGACCCCAGAAAACAGGGGCTAGGAGGAATCTCAAAATCCCGACCCCAGAAAACAGGGGCAAGAGGAATCTCAAAATCCCGACCCCAGAAAACAGGGGCTAAGAGGAATCTCAAAATCCTGACCCCTGAGAACCCAGTTGTTGCTCTGCTCTGATGTCAACCACCATCTAGGGACCCCAGACGCCGCGGGCCCCCGTGTCGGAGACACTCCAGCTCTGGGGCTGAGGCTCCTTGCCCCAGGCATACCCCAGACAGCAGACAGAAGGGTCGCTGCAAGAATGCAAACGTGGTGAGCCTCTCTCCCCAAACTGCGTTGGAGGCTTCTCCCTGCTGTTTGGGCTGTGACCAAACTCCCCACAGGGCCTCCAAGTCCTTCCCAACCTGGCCCTGCCGCCTTGGCCACCCGTGCTCTGCCATGGCTCCACCTGCACCTGCTGTGCCCATCACCCCCTCATTCTCACAAGCCCCTGCCACATTTCCAGTGCAAGCATCGGCAGCTTAAATTCCATAAAGATCTTTTAAATAAGGTGCCAGGGTAAACATAAAGCCTGCACTAGGATTCATACATTCACCTGAGCTTTTTGCTTAATAAAAAACATTATTTATTGTTATTTAGTGCCTAGCGCCCCGCACTCTGGGCGACAGAGCAAGACCCTGTCTCAAACAACACACACACGCACACAAATATTTAATTAACGGTAGGAGCAGGAAAGAAACACATTTTAGACATGCTGTTGCAGTAAGATCTTACTCGGGCCAGGCAGGTGGACAAGGTCACTTAGAGTTTTACCTTTTTGGTTTTAAATTTGTATTGTCCCCTGTAGCTCTTCTCTTTGGTACGTTAAGAACTCCAGTTAGAAAGGGGATTAAAGGAAACAGCATGTTTGGAATCCATTCTATTTGTAACACATGGATCAAAAGAACAGGTGAAAGATCAACAGAAGTTCACACCACCGCAGTGGTCTTGAAAATAAGCTTCTGATGTTAAAAGAGAATAATGTAGTATTAACAGTCCCTGAAGGGCTTAGAAATATGAATGCCGATGGAATTTTTTAAAATTCAAAGCACGTGTGCAGTGTGCCGCGCGGAGCAGAGGCTTTGTGAGTTTGAGGAGACTCCTGTCCTACTGCAGCCTCGAAACACCCCCTCCCTTCCAGTCCCTGGCAAGACTGGGGGCTCTGCACGAGGTCCCCGGAGATGCCCCAGCAGTCATCCTGGCCAGTGGGAAGATTTAAACATGCCAGTTTCACACAAAACCGCTGTCATAACTTGCTAAAAACTCTTCAGGCAAGCATAATTTCTCCAGTGTGTCCTGGGAGTTAGAAATCCCTCCTTCACACAAAAAGGAAAGAAACCCGACCTGTAGAAAGACAGCTCTGAGAAGACTATGCCGTATTAAACACAGCTACTTCCCTTTCCCATGACATTGATTCTCAATTTTGCAGATCTCAGGCCTCAGCAGTAAGTTGGTTTCAGTGGATGTTGTATTTACATTTTTTGGTGTTGGGGGGAGCGAGAAGGGGCAAGGTAGGGACAATGAAGCCCAGCTTCCATTATTTCCAGCTGGACATCGAGAAGCTGACGTGTAGAAGAATACCCAGCATGGCCCGCCGCCTGCTGTGGGCTCTTCTCAGATGGCCGCCGTGGGCCTCATGGCTTGAGAGCAAGTCTCTCACGCTCCACCCTCCGCTTCCCGACAGACAGAGGGAGAGACCCCCTCAGAGTTTTTTCTTTGGATTGGGAGGGAACATGAGCATGAGGACAGGTGGACAGGAGAAAGGATGGAGGCCGATTATCCACCTACAAAGTCGGGGTCTTACTGCCAACTTTACAGACAACTATGTCATTTAAACACTCCACAAGCACTATCATCCTTGTTTCACAGATGACAGTCTCAGCAAGTCCGAGATGCCCAAGGCATCTGGCCAAGGGCCAGACTGGTGGCAACAAAGTCATCGTGCAGAACCGCCTGGCCCAGTGCCGCCGTCCTACCTCCAACTACAGGAGACACTTCAGATGCCCCAGCAGGGAGAATATCACAGCCCTGCTGAAGGGGGAGGAGGACAACTGGAATAAACAAAATCCACGTCACTTCCAGGATCTGAAAAGTCACGCTGGACCACCCCGAGGTGAGTGGCAGAGTGGTCTATCCCGAGTGCTGGGCCACAGGGGATGGTCATGAACACACACTATGTGACCCCCTTCTTCATCAGAAAGTGCTTTTGGAGAAACAAGAGAACTGCTAAGGCTATCAAAGATGGAATCACTTTGACAGCAGAAAGAAGTGGGCTAACCTCAGTAAACACAAAAGCGCATGCAGTCCAGAGTCCTAAACCCCAGGAGGAGGACATCTCTGTCAACAGAGCTCCATGGTCACTGTGTGTTCACACCAGAGTCAGAGGCGCGCAGTGACCTCAGCACCGGGGCCAACAGAGCCTCAACTTTCCACAACACATCAAGCATTATCTTCCTATTTTAGAAGCACACACTCCCTCACCCAGAGTCTGACTTTAAGTCTCTGCAGAATCATTTAAGCAGCTGCATAGTAGCTACGGCTTTCTGCTCAGTTGCCTTTTTAAGTCAAAGCTACCAAGAGTCAAAGCAATCCAAGAGGCTGCTCAACCAGTCAATATGCAGCATGAGAAAGCAAAGCTCAGAGAGAGGTGTAATGAGGAGGCTGCTCAACCAGTCAATATGCAGCATGAGAAAGGAAAGCTCAGAGAGAGGTGTAGTGAGCAGTCACGCCACCTGTGCCCATGTCAGGGGAACCAAGGGGATCAGAAACGTAAATTCTGCAGTGTTGGCAAAGATGTGGAGCAAAGGGAACCCTTGCACGCTGTTGGTGGGAGTGCAAAGCAGAACAGCTGCTGTGGAAAATAGCATGGAGCATCTTCCAAAACTAGAAACAGGACTCTATGATCCAGCAATCCCATGTCTGGGTAAATATCCAAAGGAATTTAAACCAGTGTAAGGGAGAGATACCTGCATGCTCACATCCACTGCAGCACTATTGACAATCACTTCGATGTGGAATTGACCTACGCATCCATCAGTGGATGAACAGAGAAATCATGGTGTATGGACAAAACAAATACTATTCAACTTAACGAACTAAATTCTGCCACTTACAAAAACATGGATAAACCTGGAAGATATTACGCTAAGTGAAATAAAACAGGCACAGAAATACAAATACTGCATGATCTCACTTACATGTGGCATCTTAAAAAAGTAGAATTTGTAGAAACAGAGTGGAATAGGGGTTAGCAGGGACTGGGGAAGGGGAAACAGGGAGATGCTGGTCAAGGGCACACACTTCAAGAAAAAATGAGTCAATTCTGGAGATCGAATGTACAGTGTGGTAACTACAGTTAATAACAATGTACCATCTGCCTGAAATTCAGTTAACAATGCATCATCTGCCTGAAACTGGGTAAGAGAATGGATCTTCTGTATTCTCACCACACATACAAATTAACTACAAGGTGAGGAATGTGTTATTAATAGCTTGAAGGGGCAGGAAAAAAACCTGAAATCCTTCCCCTCCTCCTCCCTAAAAACTATAGGTTTTGAATGTTGGTTTGTGTGGAAAAAATTCTGTTTCTTCTAGCGACTCTCTCAGTGAACAAAAAAAAAAAAATAAAGCATGCTGAAGTACAGTCACCCTTGGTGTCCGTGGGGGTGGGTTCCAGGGGTCAGGATCCCAAAGTCTGTGATGCTCAAGTCCCTGATAGAAAATGGCTCAGCATTTACATAGAACCCACATGTGCCCTCCCGTGTACTTAAAAATCTCTCTTACTCGCAATACCCCAATGTGACTGCTGAGTACACAGAACCCACAGTGCCCTCCCCATGTACTTAAATCTCTACATTACTCTCAATACCCCAAAGAACATGAGTGCTGAGTACACAGAACCCATGGTGCCCTCCCGTGTCCTTAAAATCTCTACATTACTTGCAATACCCCAAAGTGAGTGCTGAGTACACAGAACCCACGGTGCCTTCCCGTGTACTTAAAATCTCTCCATTACTCGCAATACCTGAAGAAATGTTGAGTGCATAGAACCCACGGTGCCCTCCTGTGTACTTACATCTCTACATTACTCTTAACACCCCAAACAACTTGAGTGCTGAGTACACAGAACCCACGGTGCCCTCCCGTGTACTTAAAATCTCTACATTACTCTCAATACCCCAAACAACGTTGAGTGCTGAGTGCACAGAACCCACGGTGCCCTCCCATGTACTTAAATCTCTACATTACTCTTAATACCCCAAACAACGTGAGTGCTGAGTACACAGAACCAATGCATGCCCTCCCGTGTACTTAAAATCTCTACATTACTCTTAATACCCCAAACAACATGAGTGCTGAGTACACAGAACCAATGCATGCCCTCCCGTGTACTTAAAATCCCTACATTACTCTTAATACCCCAAACATGAGTGCTGACTACACAGAACCCACGGTGCCCTCCCGTGTACTTAAAATCTGTACATTACTCGCAATACCCCAAACAATGTGAGTGCTGAGTGCACAGAACCCACAGTGCCCTCCCGTGTACTTAAAATCTCTACATTACTCCCAAATACCCCAAACAACGTGAGTGCTGAGTACACACAACACATGGTGCCCTCCTGTGTACTTAAAATCTGTACATTACTCGCAATACCCCAAACAACATGAGTGCTGAGTGCACAGAACCCACAGTGACCTCCCGTGTACTTAAAATCTCTACATTACTCGCAATACCCCAAACAATGTGAGTGCTGAGTGCATAGAACCCATGGTGCCCTCCCATGTACTTAAATCTCTACATTACTCGCAATACTCCAAACAATGTGAGTGCTGAGTGCACAGAACCCACGGTGCCCTCTGCTGTACTTAAAATCTCCACAGGCCAGGCACGGTGGCTCACACCCGTAATCCCAGCACTATGGAAGGCCGAGGCGGGCAGATCACGAGGTCAGGAGATCAAGACCATCCTGGCTAACGCGGTGAAACTCCATCTCTAGTAAAAATACAAAAAGTTAGCCAGGTGTGGTGGCGGGTGCCTGTAGTCCCAGCTACTTCAGAGGCTGAGGCAGAAGAATGGCATGAACCCAGGAGATGGAGCTTGCAGTGAGCTGAGATCGTGCCACTGCACTCCAGCCTGGGCGACTAGAGCAAGACTCCACCTCGAAATCAATCAATCAATCAATCTCTACCTTACTCACAATACCCCAAACAACGTGAGTGCTATGTAAATGGTGGGTGTACTGTATTGTTTAGGGAATAATGAAAAAGTCTACCCATGTTCAGAACAGGTTAGGCCATTCTTTTCTTTCTGAATATTTTCACTTTTAGTTTGGCTGCATCCAGGGCTATAGAACCCACGAATATGGAAGGCCAACTCTGCACCTTGGAAATTTTTAACATTCAGCAGGCAGGGGAAGGAATACAGGCTCTCCCCTCCCACACCCCTCATTACTTCCTGGTCATTCTGCTGTGTCGGCTGCTTCTCTGTTGACCAACTTCACAGTCTGTCTTCATCAGCAATGGGGCAGCTCTGGACAGGGAGAAGCAGGCGTCCTTCACTTGCGAACTGTTTGCTGCGGCAACGAGCTCAAGACCTTGTCTTCTTCCAGACGCTCATACAAGGAATCCAAACCGTACGTAGTGAGGATCAGTCCTGCCACACACAGCAATGTCTTGGATCCAGAGAAGCTGAACATGCAGCCAGGGCTCCTCTGACACACGTAAGACCATGCAGAGAAGCGTCCGGTAATGTTAGGGCACCTGGCTAGTTCCGCCATACAGATGGGATGCAGAGGAAGAATTTCTTGAAGCAACATTCATCATACATTTGGAGTTGAAATGCAAAATGCAAGCGCCAAAAAAAATTAGCTATTTTGGAATAGGTTGGGACAGGGAAAACATATGTCATGAGATGAAAAATTTTTTCTTGAGACAGGTCTGCCTCTGTTGCCTGTGCTGGAGTGCAGTGGTGCAGTCACAGCTCACAGCAGCCTTGACCTTCCAGGGCCAAGTGATCCTCCCACCTCAGCCTTCTGGGTAGCTGGGACCACAGGCAGGCACCACCACACCCGGCTAACAGTGTATTTTTTGTAGAGATGGGGTCTTGCTGTGTTGCCCAGGCTGGCCTCAAACTCCTCAAGTGATCCACCCACCTAGACTTCCCAAAGTGCTGGGATTACAGGCATGAGCCACTGAATCCAGCCTCTGTCATGCGTTTCATAAACACAGTACTTGAGTTTTCCCAACCTCTTGCTATCCAGCTGGCTTCCCCGGCTGCAGTGATGCTGCTGCTGTTTGGCATTGGTTGTCTCTTCACAAAGGGTGGGGAAGCAGATGACAGGGACACGCTGTACACCCAGGGAATGACTGGGCTCTAACAGGAGATGCCTCAGCTGAAGGAAGTCCTCAGAGCCCCTTGAATCTCCACACCTGAGTGAACTAATTCCACTCACAATCAGCAGTCCGGGCCACAGAAGCAGGCGCCAGTGGAGATGCTTGCCTCCCCTCAGGGGTCCTGCTGACAGACCCCACCAGGACGTGTAGAACACAGCGCAGTCATGCTTCTTCCTCCCTGCTGCCCAGGGGGCTCTCTCTTAGGGGGCTCGTCAGAGATGCACCTCTGTCAAGGGATGACTGACTTCCATTTCATTTACCTGAAGTTTCTGCCCATTCCTTCCCAGAGAATATAATTTTTCAATGAAGAAGTCAGCTCACCTCAAGACTCTGGGCTCAAGCGTGCCCCAACCTCCATCCCCAAGTACAAAACCTCCTCTCAGCTCCAGCACACCTCAGGATGAGCCAGGACCCCACTCACCGTTTCCCAGTAACACCCCAGGCCTGAAAAAAGCTACTGCTGTGTGGGCGAATTAAGGAGGCAATGCGCATTTGTTGAGTCCTGCCAGCTAATTATAGATAAAACAAGCTTTCTGAGAGCTGTGAATGTGGATTTTCTATGGTGTTACTTATCTGCATGCCGGCATTTCTCACCAACGCTGCTCTGCACCGCACAGCACTGCTGACTCGGAGAACAACTTCTGCTTTCCTTGAGGAATTCTCAACCACCAGTTTTCATGCAAGGCACTGACTATGAAAACTTCAGTCCTATTATTTTGTTATCCTTTTTCAGACTTTGAAAATGGGCTGCTCAATGAGAACAGTATGGCTGAACCCCACGATGGTCACACAGCTGAGGTTCACCACACGCGATGCTGACTGACTCCTTGTCAGCATTGCAGCCCTGACCCCTCAATGGCTACACAGCTGAGGTTTCCCACATGTGGTGCTGACTGGCTGCTCGTTGGCAGCGCAGCCCTGACAGCAGCATTTGCACTGTCACCTTCTCCCTGTGTGGACGGCTGGGCTCCCCCTCTGTGGACCGCTGGGCTGCATCAGTCTGTTTTCACGCTGCTATAAAGAACTGCCCAAGACTCTCTAATTTATAAAGGAAAGCAGTTTGATTGACTCACAGTTACACATGGCTGGGGAGACCTCAGGAAACTTATGATCATGGCAGAAGGCGAAGGGGAAGCAAAGGCCTATCTTACATGGCGGCAGGTGAGAGGGAGGTGTGCGAGGGGGAGGACAGGACCTACTGAAATAGTACCATATAATATCTGACAGAGCAGCCAAGGGCTGGTGGCTGCAGGTCGCAGGAAGGGAACACAGTTACCAAAAAAACAGATCTCGTGAGATCTCCCAATCGCGAGGACAGCATAGGGGAATCCACCCCCAGGATCCAATCACCTCCCCAGGTTTTGCCCTTGGCATGTGGGGGTTATGGAAATTACAATTCGAGATGAGATTTGGGTGGGGATACAGAGCCAAACCGTATCATGGGCTTTACTAACACCATTTTAAAGGAACTCTGAAATGTCTAGTTACCATCTGCCAAATTGTTGACTTTATCATAGAGCAAGCATGGATATGCCAGCCCCTCGAACTTGTTAATAGCCTAGGTGCTGACTAGGACTTATCTCCAGTAACCTGACCCTGCCACAATGGGACTGGGGAAGGGGCCCCAACCCTAAGCCCAGCTCTTGCTCGGGTGGATTTTGAAGGCAGACAGGGCCACTGAGAGCAAGTTCAGACCCAGGGAATAAAACTAGGGCCCCCTCAGCAAGCGCAGACTCCTGCAAGCCTTCACAGCAGATGTGGGTTCAGCTGGGCCCTCCCCTACATCTGTACCTGCCAGGGACCCCTGCAGGCAATGTGCCAGCTTCCCTGACAACCACCTCTGTGCTCATCAGCGTCTGGGGCAAAGGTGGGTTCAGAGCCAACCCCTGGCCTGTCTCAGGAGCAGGGCCCATGGCTACTTCTGTGTTCTCTTCCTGAGACCTGCAGCCACCAGCCCTTGGCTGCTCCAGCAGACGTTATACAGTACTATTTCAGTAGGTCCTGTGACCCCACAAGTCCAGGATACATGAAGGGAAAGTGACTGCTCCTTAGTAATTAATCAAACAAATACTGCAGCTTTCACTTGGCCCTTGTTTGGGAACACTGTACGTGCCTAGGTTTTACACGAGAATTTCCAAATGCCATAGAAATTATCCTGAACTTTATTTCCTCATTCATCCCCCAAATATTTAATACCTATTGTGTGCCATGCAATGGACAGAGTACATAAAACAGAAATCCTACACAAAACAAAGTGCACACGAAACACAGACACAATATCACCAAATGTTCGCTGGATAAAAGATTTAAAAAGTTGTATTTTAACTTAAAATCTTTTAAAAGCTGGAAATACAGGGATGCTTAATTCAATGACTCCAATGATTTTCTTAAACAAATCACCTCATCTGGGTAAGCAATGGATAACAAAACAAGACAGGCCAGGTCCCATCAGGACAGGAATGACTGCGATGTCTCCCCCCATAGGTTTCAGGCTTCAGAAAATGCTAAGATCTTTCTATCATCCTTAAAGCTATTTTTTTTCTGACAACCTTGCTGTGTAAAATAATGGCTCAGTCCCAAAAAGGCTTGTAGTTAATTTAAGAGGCCTGAGGTTTTCTTTTGGAGAGCGGAGGGGGCAAATGACCTACCAGAAGTTATATGTAATAAGCTCAAGTTATTCCAGAGAAGTTTGTACACACATTATGACTTTCTCTGAGGCCAGTGAGCTGCGGGCAACCCTCCAGGAAACACTGAGGCTTCCTGTGCACTAATTCACATTGTGTCAAAAATACTGAGTTGCAGGGAGGAAAGCAGAGATGATTCCTGGTGCAACATGTAAATGTGGTAAGATTTTGATGGTTTCACTAGCTATTTAAATAATAATGTTGATAGTACACACTTTAGTTTGTGGAAACATCCTTTCTAGAAGATCTTGCCCAACCTTTATTAAGTGGCAATAATTAAGAATATACTTTATTTAGAAGGCAAATAAAGTAGAATGTATGCAGTCCTATACTCATTGATACATTATGAGTAGAACTTGTTAAGATCTCTGCTTTGCAATACCAACTTTTATGAAACAAACCTGTTTATGTAAGCACATATGTATTCAAGGATTTTTATAATAATATGTTTATGAAAACACATGCGTTGATACCATATTACCCCAATTATAGAGGGAAGATGAGAATATCTGATCAGAAAGAATGGGGAGGCTTCATTTAAAATGAAAAAAAGGTCAATAATCAAAGTGCAAAACCGATCGAAGAATATGATCGTATTACAAGGTGACTTGCAGAACAAAGCAGTCCAGACAGGCAAAAGGACTGGCACGGAGAAACACAACTGAGTGAAATTACATTGAATTCAACACATAGGCACCGCAATATCCATTCATTCAGGAATATGCGTTACACACCGACCACAGGCCAGGCACTGTGCCAGGTATTTGGCAATATCAGAACACAAAACATAAAACCTCTGCACCTTCGTGGCACTTCAATTCCTGGCCAGGTGTGCTGGCTCACACCTGTAATCCCAGTGCTTTGGGAGGCTGAGGTGGGAGGATCACTTGAGCCCAGGAGTCTAAGACCAGCCTGGGTAACATAGTGAAACTCCATTTCTACAAAAAACAAAATTAATTAATTGGGTATGACAGCATGCACCTGTAGTCTCAGTTACTCAGTAGGCTGAGGTGGGAGGATTGCTCGAGCCTGGGAGGTCGAGGTTGCACTGAGCTATGATTCCACCACTATACTCCAGCATGGGTGATAGTGACCCTGTCTCAAAAACATTCAAATTCCCACATCATAGTTTTTACAACACCAATATACCATGCAACCATCTCCCTGATAAGCCCAATCATTTACTGGTCAATGCACAGAATGTGAAGATATTATGAGGCACACACAGGAACTAAACCTACATGAATTTTTATCTTTTGCTAAAATGAGATTTGGGTGAACTAAATAAAACCACCATGAGTGTTCAAAGGAAAATACTTTTCAAGTGAACTGAAACAAAAATTAAAATCTATGAAATGCAGCCAAAATAATGATGGGAAGTAAGCTCATAGGACGAAAGGCTCATATTCGAAAAAAGTAAGGTCTCAGGTCCATAATCTAAGCTTCTATGTTAAACTCAAAGCCAGAAAAAGACATCATAATGAGCACAAATCAAAGAAACTGAAAACAGAAAGGAGGAAACTCAAGTCACACCAAAAGCCTACGTATAAAAATTCCCAAGGGATCTACAAAAGTCAGTCCTAGATCCAATACCTGAGTTCAGCCAAGTCACAGCACACAGTCAAAGTGTACTCTACGTATTGGCAATTAGTATTTGGGACCTAAATGTTAAAAACAACACTATTTACAGTAGCTGTATAAAAAACACTTAGGTATACATTTAACAAAGCACACAGAGGATGTGTATGAAGAAAACCACAAAACACTGAAGAAAGAAAGGAAAGAGCTACCTCAACTGAGCCACGAGTCCAAGGAGAAGCGGCAACACAGTCAAGACACCAATTCTCTCCACGTTGACCAACAGACTTACCACAACTCCAACATAAATCCCGCCAGGACACTGACCTGCGGACTTACCACAATTCCAGCATAAATCCTGGCAGGACACCGACCTGCAGACTTATTACAATTCCAGCATAAATTCCGCCAGAACACTAACCTGCGGACTTACCACAATTCCAACATAAATTCCGCCAAGACGCCTACCTGCAGACTTACCACGATTCCAACATAAATCCCGCCAGGACACTGACCTGCGGACTTACCACAATTCCAACATAAATTCCGCCAGGATGCCTACCTGCAGACTTACCACGATTCCAACATAAATCCCGCCAGGACACCGACCTGCGGACTTATCATGATTCCAACATAAATCCTGCCAGGACTTTCTGTAGATGCAGACAAGCTAAAAGTTACATGAAAGGGAAAGAAACAGGACAATAAACGTTCCAATTTAAAAACTGGCAAAGATCGAACAGACACTTCAATGAAGTGGATGGACATAATAAGCACTCGGAAACTAAAAGAACTGACCACAAAAGAGAGTGGCAGTGCTACTATACATAAATTTAACAAGCAAAATAAAACTACAAGGGAGAAACAAATGGAACCAAGGGCTACAAAGATGTATCTTAAAGCTGGCGGAAAACCATGGAAGTGTTCCTAGCCTCTTTCTCTGAGAGCACCACCTGACCATCCAGGAGTCGTCACTGACAGACCCAAAACCAGTGGGTGCTAACCACAGCTTCCACCCTGAGAGGGAAGAGTCATTTGAAGAACATCCAGCAATATTCCTTCGGCTCTTACCCCTCTGCTGTGCCAAACACCGAGTTAACGTTTGCTGGCCTCTATATGCACACTGAGGTCTGCATTTGTAACCGCATTTTTACATCTTTCAGGACAGGACAATCCTCCTTTGTCCCCTATGGTTTTCATCACGGTTCTATATACACCTGAAAATCTCTGCCGCCTACATCAGACGTTTTGTCTAAACCCATTACTGTGACTTACCCTAAATTTACAACCATTGATTTCAATTCCAAGTCCAAAGACTCATTTCCACAGTAATTATTTTACTCAGAAATTAAATTCCAGATTCCTGATCACACTTAAAGTCAACTGCTTTCAACTTCTGGGTTATAGATACAACTGGTCTAATTCTGTAACCTGAGAGGATTTCATGGAAATACTCTCTCTTCATCTCACGACACACACAGGTGGTAACTGCAGCCTTCAACCTAACTGCCTTCCTAACCAGAGCATGAAAGAGCAATAAAGAGTATTTATCCCCATCTCCTTGGGCTGGAGACCCACAGCGTATCAATCACTGTCAAATCACTGTTGTGCAAAAATCAGTTCCAACGCCCTGTGGAGAATAAAGGCCACGCTGGAAGAGGCACGCAAGGGAAACAGCCGTCTGCCATGGGGCTCCCACCCCCGAGACGGCAAATCCATGCAGGCGTGCCGAGGCTGGCCACCCGCTGATACCCTGCTACCATGGAACTATTCCAGGCACGAACTACCTGGAAGTCCTGGGAGAGAAACCCAGCACACAATGTTGCCGTCAGACCTGCAGGTGTGATCCCTAGCACAGCCACCTTAGGCCGGGAGAGCGAGGATGGGACTCAGAAGCTGCAAGATGACCATGCAGAGAAGCACCCACGGCTCCGTGACCAAGTCTGACCATGCAGAGAAGCACCCACGGCTCCATGACCAAGTCTGACCATGGAGAGAAGCACCCACGGGCTCCGTGTCCAAGTCACAAGTGACAAGATGAGACGCTTCCCGTGTTCCCATGTTCTGTCACTTTAACACTAAAAATTTAGTACATCTTACTGTTTCCTAAGAAAGCATAAGGCCTGAGTAGCAGGTGGCCGCTAACCTGGTTCTTTTCAGCTTCATAACAGAAGGCAATAGCTATATAAACCAAATCGCACTATGGCTGCATCACGGCTTTCATTGCATGTCAAACCCTCAGCTCCAGCGGTGCTGACCCCGTCATACTCAGAGAAGAGGTGAGCTCTTCAATCTCCATTTCTCAACACTCCAAGCTGTTTCCATATGAGCTCATGTGACTCTCAGTGCTAGGTTCGTTCATTCATTCATTCATTCATTCAGCAAAACCGCCGTGAACCCGCGGGATCCCCACCCTGCCCTCCAAGGGATACTATTCTGATGGGACCTGTGTCCACACCCATATTACTGCAGCCCAGCACCCTTCCCGGAACCGTGTGCATCTCCCCAAAAGAAAACTGTACAGAAAACGGCAACGGGTCCAGTCATGTTCCGAGGAGCAATTCCAATTGCTGATGTTTTAAGGCAACAGACTAATAACCGGCACCTCATCAACACAGAGTCACTAACTTCCCAGCAGTGTCTCTAGTCCCTCTACAAGGATATACAGATATACACGCAGGAGCTATCTTAGGAGGCAACAAGACGCTCTTCAGGAAACAGGAGAAAGCAAAACATTTGAGGAACGGACAGGGGCATCTCCACCTTCTACTGCCACAATTTGTGTGTTAGTGATCAAGCCAAGGTTCTCAACCTTTCCAATCTATTAACCCCCTGCCTGAGGCTCTCGACTGATCCCCAGCTGTACTTCCTGGCAATAAACAACCTGCCCAGCTGTGATTCCTGTGTGCACCTGACACCAGGGAGATGGAGCTGCCTGCCCAGCGGTGCTTCCTGTGGGTGCCCCTGACCCCACAGGAGATGGGGACCACCTGCCCAGCTATATTCCCTCTGTGGGCACCTGACACCAGGGAGATGGAGCCACCTGCCCAGCTGTGCTTCCTGTGGGTGCCCCTGACGCCACAGGAGATGGGGACCACCTGCCCAGCTATATTTCCTCTGGGTGCACCTGACACCAGGGAGACAGAGCTGCCTGCCCAGCTGTGCTTCCTGTGGGTGCCCCTGACACCACAGGAGATGGGGACCACCTGCCCAGCCATATTTCCTCTGGGCGCACCTGACAACAGTAGGATGCTGCATGTGCCTACACTGACAGCTACAGCATCATCTCCTGCTGTAAAAACTCCCTTTCAGAGGTAACAGGACAATGGGGCAGGTTTTCTCCTGGAGAAGTAAAGAAGCTGAGAAATCCAGGGGATTAGGAACGCAGGTGACAAAAGGAGGTTGTGACATCTACACGATGTCACATTTGGCAGCACAAGGGAGTGCTGGTATGTGCTGCTAGGTACTGTTATTCCCAGAACCACCTCACACTGCATGGCATTGACATGCTTCCCATGCTCGTTACCCTTCGGAAGACACATTTAAATAACCTTGACTTGCTGGGATGCAGCTGGAGAGAGATGCCTGGAGACCACCAGCCCAGAGTCAAGGCTCCATTTTCTCCTGCTTGCAGGACTTCTGCATGAAGCTAAGGCATCCAAATGTGCATAAGATTTATGAAGAGCAGACAAGCTGCATGACATCTTCTGAGAGGGAAGCTGTGCCATGTCAGGGGTTGGGACAGCAGCAGCAAGGGGGATCAGCCCAAGGCCTGGGGAGAGGCAGTTGGGAAATCTCAGTGTGTGTAGCCCTGGGGTCTGAGGCTTTCAACTGTCCATGTGGCTCCCACAGCTCAAGTCCAGCGTGTGGTCATGACCCAGGGCAGGGCCACTCACAGAGCACAGTTCATCTCAAATGTGATGGGGACGCTGAATGATACGCCAACGTACCAGAATAGAATCCCCAGTACTCACATGCAGAAGGCACTCCCAGCAACACGCATGCCTACACCACCCTGCACCAAGGGGCTGGGCACTCCTGCAGTCTGCAGCTGCCTCCTATCCCCCAACACACAGTGGCCTCCCGGGACAACATTCTATTTGCCGGCCACAGCCTGGAGCCCCCAAAGCACGGAGGAGGGGCTTAGCGAGCCACGCAACGTTCCCACCTCACACCCAGGAAACGAGCCCCTCACTGAAGTGGGTCCTGCACCCGCCAGCTGTGCATGATCAGAGGTGTGAGGTTATGGACATGGTCACACACTGTGCACAGAGGTGTGAGGTCACAGACCTGGTCACCCACTGTGCATGATCAGAGGTGTGAGGGCATGGACCCGGTCAACCACTGTGCAAGACGAGAGGCGTGTGGTCAAGGACCTGGTCACCCACTGTGCACGATAAGAGGTGTGAGGTCACGGACCCGGTCACCCATTGTGCACGATAAGAGGTGTGAGGTCACAGACCCGGTCACCCGCTGTGCACGATGAGAGGTATGCGAGGTTAGGGACCTGGTCACCCACTGTGCAGTCAGAGCCATGCGACGTTACAGACCTGGTCACCAGCTGTGCCCAATCAGAAGCTTTTGAGGTTAGGGACCTGGTCACCCGCTGTGCACAGAGGCGTGAGGTTACGGACCTGGTCACCCGCTGTGTCCAATCAGAGACGTATGAGGTTACAGACCTAGTCACCAGCTGCACACAATCAGAAGCTTTCAAGGTTAGGGACCTGGTCACCCGCTGTGTCCAACCAGAGCTGTGCGAGGTTACAGACCTAGTCACCAGCTGTGCCCAATCAGAAGCTTTTGAGGTTAGGGACCTGGTCACCCGCTATGCACAGAGGCGTGAGGTTACGGACTTGGTCACTCGCTGTGCACTATCAGAGGTGTGTGAGGTTAGGGACCCGGTCACCCGCTGTGTCCAATCAGAGGCGTGCGAGGTTAGGGACTGTGTGCGCGGTGACGGACCTGGTCATCAGCCAAGATTCCTGATGTTTCCAGTGTCATCTCAGCTTCCTTCAAAACTTGAAATCTTTAGATATTTCCCAAAAGCTCGTCCGTCTTTGAAAACGATACATATGCGCACAGGTGAGTTTGTTCCCGCACATTCCTTTCAGTACTGACGATTGAAGATCGAAGGTTAGAGCATTCCAGCCCAGTGCCCATGTCCCACCCCATCTGTGAAAACCTGAGCACAATCAGAGGCTGCAGACAATCTCTGCATCATCCTCAGAAACTGTTCCTGACCATTCACCTGAGGCCACCAAGTTTAAATGAGGGGCCCAAGTTTTAAAAGACAGGAGAAGACTTTTCCACAATCTTTTTCTGAAGACAGAGTCCATGCGTTGTATCATCAGCACCATTTGTGCCTGTCCTGGTCAGGAAGAGCTGCAACCACGTCTCTGTGCTCTTCCAGTGCAGGGTGCTGCCCTTCCCTCCCTTTCCAAGCACAGAGCAGCTCCTGATGACCCAGCACCTCTGCTCAGCCACCTTCCCCCAACGCCTTCCTCCCTCACGCCACAGAGGAGCTCGTGCAGCCAGGCTTTCTGGCTCACCACCGCGATTCAGTCACTTACACCCTCATTCCAGGCTGAAAATCTCTTCTGAAAATATCCAAATCTTACCCATGTCAGGCTCCATCTTTTCCCCAGAGCCCCTCACCCACTCCAGAGCAGCATCTCCGGTGCCCGTGCAGCCTGGGCGCAGATCCACAGGCTCAGAGTGCCCAGGCCCTCAGCCCCTCCATGTGTGCCCTTACTCCCTTGCTCCCCAGCGTTAATGCCCCCATCCTCGATTTCCTGGTAGGCAAAAGGGGGTTAATTCTAACAGTGCTTACCTAACTGGATAATTTCATACCGCATCCGGCCCAGCATACTGCCTTGATAAATGACAGGTCCTGCTGCACTGTTACCATTGTGCTGGTTCCGGATTTCCTGTGAGCCGCTAAGCTCTTCGCAGCAAAGACCACTCAATGGTCTGGTCCAGGACTCTCTGGGATGGATGGATGGGTGAGTGGCTGATGGACAAGTGTGATGCTGAATGGGATCATGCAAAGCTGGCCCCACGTATTTTGGTCAACGTAAGAAAAAAGCCTCCCATGTTTGCTTGCTGCCACCCTAACCGCAGCGTCCAGAAGAAGCCACTTAAAGGCAACTGTACCGCACATACAGGAGATGGCGAGACGAGACTGGCTGGAGATGGGAAGTTGTGTACTACTGATCAGGGCTGCATGACCCAAAAAAGGCATCACTCGAAAACACGGCTGTTCCAACAGCAGTGCTGGAAGGCGGCCACTCTGACCCGACCGTCCACCTCCAGGGTCAGCCACCTGGCACCTCTTGGATGTCTCATCCTGGGCACCCCTTCACAGAGTAAATGAGCCTTTTAACTTCAGCCTGTCCTCGCTAGAACACTGACTCCCACCTCCCATGTCCTGAACCGGCCTGTTCCAGGGACTGCTGTGGACAGACGAGCAGGCCCAAGATATCTAGTGGCATTTCCTGGCAAGGACACTCACGATGCTTGACCATACAACTAGGGGTCGATTGGTTTTTTAGACTGACTGTAATTCCCTGGTGGCACGCGTGGATACTGATTCACCCGGGGAGGGGCATAGAGGAGACTGAAGGAAAACCCGTCCTAACCGCGCCAGGTATTCCCGCACGCACCGATATCTTCAGACTTCTGCAGCATCCTCCTCCTACAGACAAACTGAAGCTCAGAGACACTAAGGAGCTTGTCCAAGACCAGCAACAAGTATGTGAGCAGCTGGGATTCAACCAGGTCCTTCCCTGGATCCATCCGCGCTGCTCCCCCTCCCACCCCGAGGCAGCTCCAGATGGACACAGCAGGTCGGAACATCCCACACCCCAAAGACAGACTACGGAGCAGAGCCGGCTTCCGCAGCGGAAACTCACACACAGCCCATTCCCATTCTTGCCGAATATCTCAGGGACTCTGTGCGGTAAGGGCTGCAGGTGTGACCTCACTCTGCGCCAGGAGATCCGGGTGGTAGGCAGTGTTTTGGAGGGTGCTCGTCCAGACGAGAGAGAGGCATCTAAGGGGGCTCATAAGCAGATCCATGAGACACAGGACACCTCAGAGAAGGGCCGACAAACCCCACAAAGTCGCTCCCATCCTGGAGAGCAGCTTGGAGAGGACGGGGCGCCGCAGTCTCCTCCCAGCCCACGCTTCGGCATGGAGAGCAGCTTGGAGAGGACAGGGCCGCCGCAGTCTCCTCCCAACCCACGCTTCAGATGGGTCTCGCTGCAGCCTGTGGTGCTCATCAGGCTAAGCAGCAAGAGGAAGCTTCCCAGGGCAGGAGTTCTCCTTTCACAGCAAAAGTGGCACAGGCAATGCAGCAGGGCTACTTCAGCCCAGGGCTCAGGAACCACGGGGTGCAGCGCGGCCTGCAGCAAACCAGACACATCAGAAGCCAAGGTCCCACTTTAACATTCAGTGACATCGAACGGAGGGAGTTATCTGTAGCAATCGCCTTCCTGGGGGACCCGTACAACACGCATGACCACTGAAACTGACTGAGTCCCTTCTAGGTCCTGGGGGCTACCCCACTTTACACTCATTGGTTCCATTCACAAATCTATGTGGGGCAGTTGTTAGCCCCAGTTTAGAGATGAGGAAAATGCTGCTTGGAGAAACTAAATGATAAAACCAGACTTCAACACACCTTGCCGTCTCCAAGACCCCTGCTCTGTGTCCTAGGGTCTCAGGGGCTGGGTATTCGGCATTTTAAGTGACTAATCATAGGCAGTTTTCTTCTCTCCTGCACCTATATTTAGCCTGAACGTGCACGTACATGCTCAGCTGCAGGTGCACTGCCGTATGTGGACCAGCAACGCTCTTTCCCGCCTGGGGTTCTCGTGACCACCTTCCGGAAAGCTCTCGCCTGCTTTACAGCCGTGCCAGGCAGGCCTGGGCAGCCGCACAGTGAAATTACTGCAGGGTCAGAGCCAAGTGCTGGCTGAGATTTTAACAGCGAAGACAGCAGAGCAATGGGGATAAGCTGAACAAAACTCTATTGCAGCACAGACGGAAATCTAGAAGCAAAAGAAGCTGACACCCCTGAGAGAGCAGCTGACTGCATCTCACTGTGACGTTAACAGCAGCCTGCTGTTTCCAGCGCCTCCGTGTGCCGGGGTTTCCAGTCAGCATTTGTGTTTATCTGCTCTTGAGCTGCCTGATCAAACCTCCGTAAAGATCAGGGATATCTAAATTGACCCAATATCTGCATGCTGGCTGCTCAGAGCTGGTGGTGTGGGACAGCCAGGACATCACTTAGTCATACGGGGGCACAAACATGTCACTTGCCACTCATGTCTTTATCTCATTAAAACCTATTTTCTCCTGAATATTGACCACAGCAAAGTCTATTAGCCTTCGAGATGCAGTTGAAACATCGACGTGCTTTGTTCAAGAGGTTTAAGACACACGTAAGTCTTTCTTGCCATGCTCAATACACACAGCCGTTTCTGAAGTCGGTGTTTCTGGAACAAAAGCCTTGGCCTGCCCCAGTGAACATTCACGCTGAACACACTGTCGCGATGCTGCTTGGCCAGCCAGCAGGGGGCAGGAGAGAGCAGCAGGTGCCAGCGTGGAGTTCCTGCAAACTCGCCTCAATCAAGGGCGGTGTGTCCTGCCAATCCAGCGGCTTCCTCCAAGGGGAAGCGGCCTCTTCAGCTGCCACAGCACTGATTTCAGGCGGCTCAGCCAATGGGGCAACAGATTCAACAGAGTTCCATGTCGTTAAAGGAAAACTTCTGTTACCAGGCAACCTTAATATCAGATTCAACGTAAAATAACCAACAAGATTGTTTCCAAACCAAGGTGCTACTAGTGCCTTATCCTTCAATGCTGCTTAAACACGGAGAAGTATGAGGAAAAAAGAACATAGCATTTACTTCTTAAAAAATAACACGTCTTCCAGGTTCATTTTACCCATAAAGACTTAGAACTGTGGCTTCCCTAGAGGAACGTGGTGGGAGGTGGATCCCGACACTGACCCAGCCTCCCCCCACAAGTCAGTCACCCCTCCACGGGGTTCACACCTCTCCAGGCCCTGTCACCTCAACAATGAAGGGTGGCGGCTCCGAGCTCTCTTCACAGGGAGCACCGAACAGGAGCTAGAGAGAGACACAGACACACCCACAACCGCTTAAAAATCCTGAAATGCAATACATATTTAAGGACTTCATTATTAGTTTTTCAAAACTGTAAGAACAAAGTGAGCCTGGCTTTAACCTGTGTGACACGATAACACCGTGTATATCTGTCCTTTACTGTCTGTTCCTTCTCCAGCTGCTGCTGCCTGGCTGGCCGACTGCGGGAGAAGAGCCTCTGGTACTCCCGGGAGGCCCTCGGTAAAAGCGTGAGCACCACAATCACCTCTCAGGACACCGCACACGTTAGGGTCGCCCACAGACGGCCGTTCCCAGTGCCTTCTTACAAAGGCATGAACGGGCCTCCTGCTCTTTGTAAATGTCAACCTTCCTAAGCAATGTCGTGTTGACAATTTTTAACTGCAGTCCACCTATACTTCTTTGTTTCTGTCTTGTTTTTATCCTAGAGGCATATTATTATGGAAAATTAAATTTGCAAGGTTGAAGCGTTTTTTAAAGTTGACTTCTAATCCTGGAAGGGAAAAAAATGGGCCAGATGTGGTGCTCACACCTGTAATCCCAGCAGTTTGGGAGGCTGAGGCAGGCAGATTGCTTGAGCCCAGGAGCTCAAGACCAGCCTGGGAAACATGGCAAAACCCTGTCTCTACTAAAAATAAAAAATAAAAATAAAAATAAAAAATTAGCTGGGCGTGGTGATATGTATCTAGTCCCAGCTACTCAGGGTGCTGAGGTGGGAGGATCACCTGAGAGGTGATCACCCAGGAGGTGAAGGCTGCAGTCAGCCAAGATTTGCGTTGCTGCACTCCAGCCTGGGCGACAGAGTGAGACCCCATCTCAAAAAACAAAAAGCAAAAACAACTGTATACATCATTATAGAAAGGAGCTGGCCGGGCAGTGGCTCACGCCTGGAATCCCAGCACTTTGGAAGGTCGGGGTGGGCAGATCACCTGAGGTCAGGAGTTTGAGACCAGCCTGGCCAATATGGCAAAACCCCATCTCTAATAAAAACACAAAAATTAGCCAGGCATGATGGTGGGTGCCTGTAATCCCAGCTACTAGGGAGGCTGAGGGAGGAGAATCACTTCAGCCTGGGAGGTGGAAGTTGCAGTGAGCCGAGATTGCGCCACTGTACTCCACTCCAGCCTGGGTGACAACAGCGAGACCCCACTTCAGGAAAAAAAAAAAAAAAAAAAAAAGGGAGCTAATGTTTTTCATTTAAGGGAAGGGAGAAGAACATTCAGTATTTATACATCTCACGCACACATCTGCAGTGGGGCCCTAAAGTATTCAAGATACACATTCCTACAAATATAGCTCAAAACTACTCACCAAGTTTCATGCTAAAAGCACATGCATTTTAAGAGTGCTACATTATATTTTTTAAGCATCTGTATCCAATATTTTAGCATACTGGCAGTTTTCCCTTCAGGTGCTGTATGCCTAAATTATTACATGTTTAGTCGTTCATGTTAGAATTTATGACTCGCTTTAGACAAAAGAAATAAACATAAGCTACTAAATTAATGACTTAGGGGAAAAGTTACTACAATAACTTAGAAGTCAAACTTTGCAAACTGAATTTGTTGGACCATGTAAGCCAGATGATCAGTTTTTAAAATTGTTTGTCGCGTGTTTCCCTCAAGGACGGAAGTCTCCCCTTTACTCTCATCCACTGCATGCTGCAGCCCGCACCTCTCATCCACCACAGCACACTGCGGCCCGCGCCTCTCCTCCACCGCGCCACACCACGGCCCGTGGCTCTCGTCCACCACAGCACACCGCAGCCCATGCTTCTTGTCCACCGTGCCACACCGCGGTCCACTGCGCCACACTGCAGCCTGCAATTCACCCTGTACCACGCCTTCCACACCTTACCTGAAAGTCACTAAGTATAACCAAGAAGGAAATGAAAAGTAGATAAATGACCTCCACCCCCACCCCATGTCCAGCCTGCACATGTTTAAACATTCATCAAAGTAAAACCAAAAACTCACGTTAGCTCACGATTGTAACTGGTAGAATCATGTGCATGGCAATTTTAAAAGTCTCATTAAGTAAAAACCTAATCGAACCTCTCAAGAAATACAAAGTTTATACAAAAAGACATCTGCAAACATCGACAGTGAGGAAAGGACTTCACTCACCATCCAGCCTGTCCTGGAAGCCACGGCCAAATGCCAGGTTGTATAGATCCAAAAAGCAGAAAAAACAGTGCTGAAATGTGTACAGTCTTGGCAATGTACAAATTCAGATGTAGGATGCTCAGAAACCTTGAATTTCCAATCAGAGAACAGGAACATGAGCAAGTTCCCCAGCAGTGCCCACCTTCTGCCTATAGCATGTGTAACAGGAATGCTGGCCACCTCGGGGGGACAGAGGCTTCCTGGTGCATTCGCCCTGCCAGCCGCACAGCTGGCCCCACCACAAACACCTGCTAATACTGAAGAACCACCCCCCTTCCTTGGGCTTTGCTCACTCTAGCCAGGAGAGCGTATTTACACAGTGCATTATCGACTCAGTTCTCGTTCAATACGTCAAGCTTGTTGAAGGCATGGCAACCCCACTCCTGGCCCAATTAAGTGAACTGAGCAGAACAAATGCCCCCAGTTCGACGGCACTCAGTCACAACAGCAACGGCCACCATTCACAGGGTGCTGGCTTCGTGCCGGGAACAGTTCCAGGCGTCTTCTTTGTCCGAGGAATTTACACTGCAACCCTGCAGGGCCGTTCGCAATGTTCACCAGAGGGTTCTGAGGCAGCCAAGTCCAGGCTGTCTGTGGGCCTCACCGCATGGCCGTCCGTGTCCCCCTGCAGACCAGACCTCACTCCAAGGACCGCGGGTTCCAGGGCTGCCTTGAGGCACATGCTCCCTTCGCCACCTCCTCCTGGCCCCTGACACCGACCCTCACCACTGCTGCCAACACCGTATTTCCTCATGGCTCCTGAGGGACCTGGTCTTTCTGCACGTCCCTGCTCCCTGCGTCCGGCTTGGAGGATGCCCGTATCAACGCCAACATTCACGTAATCACCACCCCCCTTCCATGGGGGGCTTTATGCCTAGGAGTCTCAATATCAGAATGTCGGATTCCTGTGCTTGGAGGATTTATTCCCACTGTGGAAGTGAAGGGGGTAAAATTCTAGGTGCCTGCAATAACCTCATTTCTGTAGCTAAGCAACTTCAGTAGTAGCAAAAAACAAGCTTTTTTTAACTTCTTTTATACAAGCTAAAAACAATTTTTACGTCCACGTTCTCATCAGCTCCCACCTGGTGAGCAGGCAGATAGTAATTTTCAGAAAAACAAATTGTTCCATAATTTTAACACTTAGTGTTATCACTATTAAGAATTATAAACGTTAATTACATAACTATCCAAAATGCCTCAGGGAAAAAAATGTCATCCAATTGGTTCTTTAAAGTGTTACAAATGCAGCTGAGTTTTAATAGTAACTTGTCCATAATTGTCAAAAGAATCTTTAAAAATCTTAATACTGAAAGAATAACCATAAATGGATATAAAATACAAAGCAGAAGAGTTAACATTTGAGGTAGATTGTGGCCTATATTTTTAACATATGCATAGTTATTTACCTAGCTGAAGTACATCCCTCTCCTCCTAGGCTCTTCCAAGCTGATTTTCAAACATAGACTGGCTTTTGGTTCATGAAGGCAGATTTAAAAGATGTCAGGATCGGGCCGGGTGCAGTGGCTCACACCTTTAATCCCAGCACTTTGGGAGGCCAAAGTGGGCCAATCACTTGAGGTAAGGAGTTCAAGACCAGCCTGGCCAATATGGCAAAACCCTGTCTCTACTAAAAATTTTTGTAATTAGCCAAGCGTGGTGGCATACACTAATAATCCCGCTACTCAAGAGGCTGAGGCAGGAAGAACTGCCTGAACCCGGGAGGCAGAGGTTGCGGTGAGCCAAGATCGCATCACTGCACTCCAGCCTGGGCAACAGAGTGAGACTGTCTCTCAAAAAAATAAAAATAAAAATAAGAAAGCCTTCAGAAAAAGCTATGAGCACCGCCCCCACCCAACCCAAGCAATCACACGGCAATGGTTATCACCTGATTTTCACACAATAGATAAAATTCTATTCTCGTCTCTAAACACTATGGTAAACACCTGCCATCAACCCACAGAAACTCCTGGGACCCAATAACACTGAACTAGCAAGATTAACAGGCCACACACGGAGAGTTTAGCTGCAGAAAGTGATGGCACTAAGAATATGTCTGTGCTCAAACCAGATTCCTTGCTTTCGGGGTGAAGGGGCTTCCCCAGGAAGATCTAGTCCAGTGGGATGGTTTCCACTTCCACGACGAGAGGAAACGAGGGGGTTTCCTGAAGCCACTGGCATGACTTGGGTCTCTGTACCTTTGTCCTCCATCCTGTTATGGGATGAGGGTGGGCTGAAGGCAGGTTCTCCCTACATCTTCCGGGCAGGAAAGATGGAGCTGACAAGCAGATGACAGCTTTTCCAAAATGTTCCCACGTTTATAACCTGTTGTTGACCTGCTTTCCCTGGAGATCAGTGAAGTGGCATCATTGATTCTCTTCCATTAGGGACAACCGGGCAGTATGGGAGGCGGGGGAGAGGAGGGGGGGGATGGGGAGGGGAAGGAGGGGATGGGGGGGAAGGGAGGGGATGGGGGGGAAGGGAGGGGATGGGGGGGAAGGGAGGGGAAAGGGGGGGAAGGGAGGGGAAAGGGGGGGAAGGGAGGGGAAAGGGGGGGAAGGGAGGGGAAAGGGGGGAAGGGAGGGGAAAGGGGGGGAAGGGAGGGGAAAGGGGGGGAAGGGAGGGGAAAGGGGGGAAGGGAGGGGAAAGGGGGGGAAGGGAGGGGAAAGGGGGGGAAGGGAGGGGAAAGGGGGGGAAGGGAGGGGAAAGGGGGGGAAGGGAGGGGAAAGGGGGGAAGGGAGGGGAAAGGGGGGGAAGGGAGGGGAAAGGGGGGGAAGGGAGGGGAAAGGGGGGGAAGGGAGGGGAAAGGGGGAGGGGGTGGGGGGGGACAGGGGGTAGGGTGGGGGGGGACAGGGGGTTGGGGGGGACGGGGTAGGGTGGGGGGGGGACAGGGGGTAGGGTGGGAGGGGGGACAGGGGGATGGGGGAGGGGGATGCGCAGGTGCCTGCTGTGCATGGAACCCAAGCCCCTCGCAGAGCTCAGGATGAACCCAGTTTCCAGGCCCGGGGCCATCATCAGCCAGGAGAGGCATCCGCGGCACTTCCCAGCAATGGCCACAGGAAGTACCAACTCAGGCCCATCAGGGGCTTCCTCACTGTGGGGGTTTTTAAAAGTAGAGCACAGAGGTTCAGGTCTAGTGGCACAGTCAAACGTTGACAGACTCCATGGAAACACGGACTTGGCCCCTCCATCCCACCAGCCTGCATGGCCGCCCCTCTCCGCTCCCATCATACACATCCCCATCCAGCCAAGCCCCTTCTCCTTTTCCCTTCTCCATTTCTCCACTGGATTCATCAAATCAAACCTTGCTGTCCTTGGCAAATGTACCATGAATTTACTTACTGCCCAGAACAAAAGCACACTTCCAGTTAACATGACACCCCCACTATGGTAGAACACAGCCCTAATTCAGACATTAGGTGAAGGAACAAGGGAGGGGAGTCGAGGGCAGTCCTGAGTCAGCAGCTGTTTTCTGGGGAAAGCCTCTGGCCCACCCAAGCCCGACGCTCCGCCCCACACTGTCCTGGTGTCTGAAAGCTCCATGAAGACAGGGTCACTCTGACCCCTTCACACCCACAACGCCGAAGAGGAGCAGGTGTTTGGGAAAAGCCTCCTGCTGGCGGTGAAGGCAAGAATAATTCCTCATGATACCCAGAATGTCAGAAGAAAAGAAGGCACCATATGGACGCCTTCCAAGTGAATTTTGGAATGATTCTACCGAATGCCATTCATCCTTTTTCAGAACAAAATCAATACCAGAAACGTGTCACCAGCAGAAAGATGGTCCCTTTGATTGACGGCTTACAAACACAAGTATGTTACACTGAATTTATCTCAAGCCACCCTCTCTGTGATAATATAAAAGGTCTCTTTATTAACAACCAGTAGCCTTTCTCATCTGGTGCTTTTTAACAAGAGGGTCCTGTAACCCTCAGGCATTGTCTAAACGTCAAATGGAAGCCTAGGATCCTCTTCTGTGCAGTTTCACCACAAAGTATTTTGACTTGAGCCAAATCATGCTATTCCTACACCTCCACAGGAAACTCAACGTTTCATCAAGGAAAGGCAGCATGATTTCTGCTAGGCAGTTTGGTGGGGTGGGCGTGGGGTTGAGGGAACATCACATGGAAAGCACACCCCGATATCACCAGCCTGACAGCCACACTGGCCAGCAAGTCCTGGTCAGCTCGGTCTCTGCACAGTCACAGGCATGAGGCCTGGAGGGCGGACACCCAGTGCTGCTGACCACCCCAAGGTCATGGCCTCTGCCTCTTCTCTGCTGACCCGTCAGTTCCAAGCTTCTGGCAACACCACCTGCTGCCCCTGCTGCCTGACTGACTCCTTCGTGAAAAGCGGCGTTGCCAGGATAGCTTATGAGTACAACTGCCAGGAAAGCAGCTCCGATTGATGCTGAAACCCTGCTCTTGCACCGCTGGCAGCTCCCCTGGCCCTGATGTGTACGCACTTGCAGCTCTGACCTTGCTCAGTGTCCACACAGGCTTTCCCCCAGAAACGCACAGGTTGAAATCCTCACCCCCAACGTGACAGTGTCAGGAGGTCTTTGGGAGGTGATGAGTTCCCGAAGCTGGAGCCCCATGAATGGGGTTTGTGCCTCAGAAAGGGGCCCAGCAACTCTCTTGCCCTCCCACTGTGTCAGGGCCAGAGAGAAGGCGTGTGCCAACCAGGAAGGGGCCCACACCAGAACCCACCCATGCTGCACCCTCATGCCACCTTCCACCCTCCAGAACTGTGAGAAACAAATTCCTGTTGTTTAGAGGCCAGTCAATGGTGTTTTGTTACAGCAGCCTTAGCTGCCTGAGACGACAATGCTCACCGTCCTACAGAGATGGCTACTCCCCTCTTCCAGAAAGAGGTTTAATTAAAATCCCTGTCTCTCCTCACCGCCACCACAGATCCCACCTCCAGCAGTTACTAGGATTAAAGGAAAAGGAGGATCATTTTAGACCAGCCCCTCGACGTCAGTCTGAAGCCTGTAACTTTGCCCACTTCCATGGTGGCCGTGTCAAACTCCCCATGCCAGCTCTGCATCTGCACTGGGTCCCAGGCTCTGCACAGACTCCTCCAGCTGTCCATCCAGCACACCCATTTCCCCTTCTGCTTTGCAGATTGTCCTTCAACATCCAACCCCCACCTGCAGCCCAAGGGCTTCCGATCCAGCCATTAGGGGTGAGCCCAGCTGTGCACTGGAGTCCTTGGCTCAGGTAACCCAGGCCTAAGCCGCTGGCACCAACGATCTCCTGGCTGCAGGGTCTGCACAGCCACTAGCTGCCCCGGCCACACCAGGGCCCAGGAGGGAAGGCAGAGGAAGCTGTGAAGCTGCCAACAGCTGTAAGGGGACAGGGGAGCCCCTGGGATGAGGTGGATGCCATGGAAGGAAATTCAGAGAAAGACCCCCGGGGGCTGGATGGGTCATGCCCAAAGCCTGCACTGCTGAGTTTTCGAGGTTTCTGAACTCATTCAATCGCTGACCCACGCAGCACGTTTCCTGAGTGCTGACCCCGCGTGGTATTGGATATGGCAATAAGGCAGGACCCCCACCTCCCCTCCCCCACACATACATGGGACCTCCATCCTGGTGGGAAATCAGGACGTGCACAGGCCTGGGTCCCCCCAGCTGGCACCACGAGCCTGGGAAGAGGGCCGTTTCAGATGCACAGTGGGTGCAGCCTTGCCAAGGGGCCCAGCAGTCACCTACACTGCCACAGCCAGGCTGAGTCAGGATCAACCGCACAGAAACCTGACCCTCTCAAGGGCGCACCTGAGCTCATTAGGGACAGAAACCGTCTCCTGCTCATCGCTAACACTTTCTCTGCATGTCTAGTTACAAACGGACGACGCAGTCTTGAAGCACAGCTGTGACGTGGAGACAGATCCCAGGCCTCCCCCCTGCTCCTCTACTTGTTGCCATTGAGGGGGAGGGGCCAGTATGGCCACAAGGCTGCACACCCACAGCCACCCAGCCACTGAGACGTGGGCCTTTGATGGCTGCTTCTCCCAAAGAACCCTTCTCCGTCTTGGAGCACACCATGGCGGGCAGGAAGCTCCACTCGGAGTAACAGCGATGGTTCTCCCCAGAGCCAACGGAGGCCCCCACCCTGCATTCAGCAGTTTACTTACATTCTGGAAAACATCTGAATTAATGGGTAACACTAAAATGAACAGGTCATGCAAGGAAGTTTAGAAGGTCGTGTGAAGTCTCAGCAGGCCCAAAGGTTTCCGAGAACCAAGGCGGCTGGGGTCGACATGCTTACAGGCAAAGTTTCCACACGGGCCTTCAACAAGCAGCGCTCAGCAGGGAGGGCCGCGCTCTGGGCAGAACCTCAGAACCAGAACATCAGACGCCACAAAGTCACATCAGAGCCGACAGCAACTGAAATACAGCACTTTCCGAAGACGTGTGCGTTACCTGCAGAAAGTTACTAGACATTAATTTAAGATGGGGGAAGAAAAGGATAAAGTTAGAAATAAATTTAAAGTAATTTCTGCATACAAAAAAAATTCTATATCCACTGGCTTTCTGGGAGTAACAACTTTTACATGAGATGCACATCCCAGTTGGAAGGAGTTTGGGTTTTCCGTGGGCAGAGACAGGGCTCTCCAGGAAACATGAACCCTTTCTCACTCACTGAGCCACGTGCCCTGGGGCCGTCCTGACCTGTCTGAGCAGCTCCCTGCTCTGCCTGCAGCTCCTTCCGCACTCCCCCGCTGCTCCCAGAGCCTGCACTGGCCCAGGATCTCGTCTTCTGCTGCTGTCAACCATCTGCTGCCAAAGTTTCACTTTAGGGCAAATAAGTTGGAAACCAAAAAATTCTAAGACCCCTTGGGCTTTTTAACAATTTGTCTTCTCAGAAAAAGAACACTAATTCTACTTCCATGGTTTAATATGTTGCCTCCATCTGCATGTTCATGGATATGTGTTTTTATATATGTTTTAATCAATACTTTTAAAGTCATACACTGTTGGCTACATTCAGTTTAATTACATTTGACGTTAAGTTTTAAATTCAGTGAATTCAGGCACTCAAAATTTAAGCCCTCTGACATCTATTAATCAAATGGAAATATGACAAGTAGGTATTACAAAAATCAAGAGAAGTATTTAATATAAATCCTGGACTTTTGGATATTTCCACAAATGTAATGTATACATTAGTAAACAAACGAGCATTTTCACAAATCTTTGAACTCAAATTCCATTTTTAACTTTTACAGGTAAATCAATATCCATATGTGATTTTAAGCAGATCAAGCATCAGCTCTTAAAAACAACCAGAAATGCTGCAGGCAAATCCCACCAAGCAGCAAACAAAGGAACAGCACCCAACAACTGAACACCTCCCCTGAGGCATCTGGAATGTGAGGATTACGAGCAGCCTGTGGATTCTGAGGTGCCTGAGTGGGGACTCCCGACTCCCCAAGTCTAAGAGAAGGCCTCAATGATAAGGAAAACTCGTCAAAAAATCATCCCTGGCCACATGCTCATCCCTGCCTGCCCCCAGGCACATGCTTACAAGTCTCGCTTCCTCTCTGCCCCCCAAAGCCTGACGTGTGGTCCCAGCCCTGCTGCTCACTGGGGTGAGACCATGAGCATCACTGCACCTGTAAGGGGAGAAGCCGGTCCAGATATAGGATCCTGGCTATCCTGGCAGTGCTCAAGCTCACTGATACTGTAATTAACTTTGTAGTGAGTTACTTAATGCAAAGGTTTAACTTTTGAATAATTTAGATTTGTGTATTCTAATGGGGAAATCCTGAATGTAGAACACAGGAGACACCCTCACACAGATTCTATCTGGCCAGCACTATTTTTTGTTTGCCTTTTCAATAGACTTTTTAAAAAGCGGTTTTCGGTTCATAGCAAAATCGGGAGGAAAGCACAGAGTCCTCACGTATCTCCTTCCCCAGCACATGCACAGCCTCCATCATTCCCCCACCCCCACCGGACCAGCATGTCTGTACAAATGACAGACCCGCATCAACACAGCACCACCACCCAGAGTCCATAGCTCACACGAGGTCTCAGCCTGCTGCTGCTCACTCTGTGGGTTTCACAGACGTGGAACAGCATGGATCCCCCATGACAGCCCCACACGGAGTTGCTTCCCCACCCTAAACAGCCCCTATGCTCCTCCCATTCACCCCTCCCCTCCCCAACCCCTGGCAGCTGCTGACGGTTTTACTGTCTCTGCAGTTGTGCCTTTTCCAGGCTGTCCTGTCGTTGGACTCAGACAGCAGGCAGCCTTCCCAGATTGGACTCTCACTTAGCAACATGCATTTAAGATCCTTCCATGTCTTTTCATGGATTAGTGGTCCAGTTCTTTTTAGTGTTGAATAATATCCCAGTTTCTGATGTACCACAGTTTATCCATTCACCTACTGAAGGGCATCTTGGTTGCTTTCAAGTTTTGGCAGTTATAAAAGCTGCTGTCAACATCTGTGTGCAGATTTCCGCATGGAAGTAAACTTCAGCTCCTGAGTAAATGTCCAGGACTGTGGTTGCTCCTGTGGTCGGAGTGCTTAGTTCCATGGGAAACCGCCTTCCACAGCAGCTGCCCCACTTTTCCCAGCCACAAGTGAGGGTCCTGATGCCCCACACGCCCACCAGCACGCGGCGGTGTCGCAGTTCCAGTTTTGGCCAGGCTGCTGGGTGCGCAGTGGCGCCTCGCCCTACGACATAAGACACGGACCATCTTTCCACATGTGGATTTGCCATCTGTGTCTCTTCTTTGTTGGGGTATCTGTCCAAGGTCTTTGGTCCATTTTTTCATCAGGTGGTTCATTTTCTTATTATTGGGTTTTGAGAGTTCCTTGCATGGTTTGGATAACAGCCTTTATCAGATGAGCCTTTTGTAGATACGTTCTCCCCGTCTGCGTGGCCCACAAGCTCGTTTCTACCTGACGCAAAGGACCCTGGAGTGAGGATACAGGGACTCTGCATGACCAACACGCTCGTTTCTACCTGAGCAAAGGACCCTGGAGTGAGGGAACTGTGTGTGACCAACACGTTCATTTCTACCTGACACTAAGGACGCTGGAGTGAGGATGCACGGACTCTGTGTGACACATACACTCATTTCTACCTGAGGAGTGAGGATGCAGGGACTCTACGTGACCCACGCGCTCATTTCCACCTGATGCAAAGGACCCTGGAGTGAGGATGCAGGGACTCTGTGTCACCCACACACTCGTTTCTACCTTACACAAATGACCCTGGAGTGAAGATGCAGGGACTCTGACCCACAAGCTCGTTTCCACCTGATGCAAAGGACCCTGGAGTAAGGATGCAGGGACTGTGTATGACCCACACACTCGTTTCCACCTGAGCAAAGGACCCTGGAGTGAGGATGCAGGGACTCTGTGTGACCCACACACTCGTTTCTACCGGATGCAAAGGACCCTGGAGTGACGATGCAGGGACTCTGTGTCACCCACACACTCGTTTCTACCGGATGCAAAGGACCCTGGAGTGAAGATGCAGGGGCTCTGTGTCACCCACACACTCGTTTCTACTGGATGCAAAGGACCCTGGAGTGAGGATGCAGGGACTCTGTGTCACCCACACACTCGTTTCTACCTGAGCAAAGGACCCTGGAGTGAGGATGCAGGGACTCTGCATGACCCACACGCTCGTTTCCACATGACACAAAGGACCCTGGAGTGAGGATGCAGGGACTCTGTGTGACCCGCACACTCGTTTCTACCGGATGCAAAGGACCCTGGAGTGACGATGCAGGGACTCTGTGTCACCCACACACTCGTTTCTACTGGATGCAAAGGACCCTGGAGTGAAGATGCAGGGACTCTGTGTGACCAACACGCCCGTTTCCACCTGACGCAAAGGACCCTGGAGCGAGGATGCAGGGACTGCTCTGAGTTACCAGCACACTTGTCGCTTTTACACATAAAGAACCCTGTGACTCTGTCCCAGGACCTTTTAGCCTAGACCTAAAAATTCGCAGCCCAGGAAACCCAAAGCATTTTAGGAACCTGAGGGGTGGGCCAAGGGGATCTCAGAGTTTGATGCTGGCTGTGGGGTCAGCAAAGGGTGGCTGGGGCTTCCCATAAGCACTCCCAGGAGGCCGTGCAATGGCCCGAGGCTGGTTCCACCTCCCGCCCTCAGTTCTCACGCCCAGCCGTGACTGGAGCACCCCTTCAGGAAGGAGTCCCTGGCTCCAGGCCCTAACGTCCATGTCAAGGCCCCTAGTGGGGCAGCTTCTACCCCAGGGAGGCTGGAACTGGAGGCAGCCTGGAGCTCCAGGCAATCCTGGCAACCACCTGCTTCTTGAAGTGGCTGCAGAAAAACCCCTGCTTCCAAACCCTGGTACAGACTGTGTGAGGCCTGGAACGCGGGAGGCACACTTCACAGGGTCCCTGCTCAGATGCAAAAAGCAAGGCTAACAGCAGGAAAATTATTTAATTACCTTCATGGTCATCAAGTAAAATCAGTCACTCAGACCTATATGTGACTGGAAGTATACACATTATAGAAGTGTATATACATGTAAATATATACATGCTTATTTTCCTCTACTTTTATATACCTTACATATATATGTGTATATGTGCAAATGTATAAAACATGGACGATAAACCATAGTTGAGATTTCAAATCTCAAAGATCTCAGAAGCAAATTACTATCCTTAAATTCTATACAAAGACATAACATCTTACATTCTTGCAAACAAAACATTCTCTAAGTATTAGCGTTTTATTTTAAAAACAAAGAATGCATTGCACTCTCGCAATTTCTTATTTCAAATCACTTTCACTGAGAGATTCTATAACTTGCTACCTTGAATACTTCCAACAATAATAGCTCATTAGTTTAAGCATTAGGGAGTTCATTTTTAAATACCATCACTGATTAAGAAAAACTGCTCTACAGGACTTTCGCTATTTTAAAGCGTAATGATGTCCACCTCTCTATACTCAAGAACAGGAAGATGCCCGTGCAGATGTTTCCAAAGCAATTCAGAGGAGATGGTCTAGACACACAGTTTAAGACAATCACAATTTCAAAAAAAAAAAAAAAAGAATCACATTTTCAAGGTCAGAAGATCAAGACCAAATCCAGGATATTCTGAAGGGTTCAACTTACATTTAAATTATCTCATGTATTTGTAGTTTGGATGGAACATGACATCCTTAAAGACAACCAAATCTAAAATACAGAAAAGCATTCTTAAATGCATCACAGCCCTTAAAACCCACAGCATATCTCTTTTGTTTAAATGTACTTAATTTTATCACATTTTCATTTTATAATTTCAAAATTTCTAAAGCTCCTAACGCCTCAAACCGAGATAGAATTTGACTTCAGCAATTTCCAAGTCACAAGCAGGTTGTATGTCCACAGCTATTCGGAATGTGGTTTCTGATAGAAGCTTTTATGAACACACATGAAATCCCTCTGGATTGCAAAGGCTGAGACTCAGCGTATCTCAGAATGAAAATACATACATTTGTGATGGACAGCAGAACACAGTACAGATACTAATTAGTAAAACAACAGCAAAGTCTACGGCACTTCTCATACAGAACAAATACAAAGTGTTTGAGGAAAAGTCTTTCTAACTGTAAAAATTCGAGCTGATTGGAACAAAGAAGATTCTGAATATGATCTTGGCTGCTTTACAAGACTTCAGAATTTTCCTCATCTGCAAGTGAAAATGAACCTCCTGCTTGCCCACTGAGGACAGGGAGAGAACAGGGTAGGATAACAGGCCTTTGAATGCTTCGTAGGTGGAGAAAGGAAGACAGGCCAGCCCCGTACACCCATCAGCACACCCACACCAGCTGTGCAGGTGACTCAGCTAACCCTGCGATGGCCAGGCATCTCAATGAGACAGCCGGGCCTGAGTGACCTGCCAAGAGACATGATGGCCAAGCCTGGATGGAATCCCTGGAGGGTAGTCAACCCAGGGCCTCTCAGGTTTTGTCCCAGCAGGTCTGTGCCCAGGAATCTGCATTTCCAAGTAGCCCAGGTGAGCTGCTGCCCAGAGGCCCTCACCAGTCATGGCTCACACAGGCAGTGGAACCCCCGCACACCACCTCCTTCTGCAACGCCTGGCGTGGATTTTCCTTAATTGCCGATGCTGCGCTCCTCTGTGCCTACACTCACCATCGGTCCCAAGTTTACTGAACTTAGAATGAGAGAAGGGAATTACAAAGGAAAGCGTCCACCTGAAACAGGACCGACCGGGGCTCACATCAGCAGACACAGCAAATGCAGCACACCTGTGCACGGCTCACCACTCACAAAGCCCACAGCCGCGTGGTTTCCACTCTGAACGTCCAAGTGGCTGTGGGCAGGGAGATGCTGCACAGCTGTTTCTATGCTAAATACTTGAAGGTGTGAATTTTATTACATAAAATTTAGAAAAATGTGTGTTTAGCATATAAATGTGTGCATTTATTTATGTTAAATACATGAAAACATGTAATCCAGGTGTTTAGGTTCATACCACTGTAGAGACTAATTTCTATTCATACAGCTGCACAGCTGGGGCCCAGAACCAACACCCACCAGCTGTGTCACCGTATCCGCTGTTTTTCTGTCACACACCAGCCCTACCCCACCAAAAAAAAAAAAAAAAATCCGTGGCATTTAATAAAAAATTCTTTTATGTTAGTTTTACATTACTAGAGACGACCTTGTGGTCCTCTTTGAAGAGATGGCAGCACGTGAAGGATCTCAAATACACATATGTTCTGGGTCTCCTGATCTAAGGACTCGTCCACACTGGTGGCTTTAACTGCGCCTATGTGGAAACTTCCGGAAGGCATTTGTGTCATGTCTAAGAGCAAACTGGCATTCATGCCTCAGCACTGTGTGCCTCTTCTTTCCTCCGTCCCGCCAGCACCATCTTCTCCCAGGGAACTGGTGCCGTGCTCTGAGGCTCTGTCCTGCCAGTCCCCGGCAGAGTCCCTGGTGCCATCATGGATAACCAGCCCTCCGCCTGTCCAGGTGCATCAGGCAGCAAGCAACTCATCCAAGTCTGTTTAGAAACCACACACTTGCGACACCTATAGGCCTCAGTAGGTGGAGGCGGACAGGGTAAGGGCAGCCGTCCTGGGGGACAGCTGTCTGCAGTGAGCCACCACACATTCAGTGAGGCTGTCTGGCTCCTCACCTCTACCCAGCCTCCACCCATCGCATCTGGCCTGGATTCTCCGACGCCTGCACAGCCTTCACCCGGTTCATAACTCAGCTCACAAAGGCCCCGTACCGTGCGAAGTGCGGCAGTGGGTGCATCTGCAGCTGTTTATCATCTCTGCATCTAGCTCCTCTCCCTCACAAAACAGCACCTCTGAAGTCATGGCCTGGCCTCCCGACCCTCCCCGCTTCTGGGCTTCTTGGCATGTTGTTCTGCTCCACACACCTCAGCAAATATTGCTGATTAGCTAAAATCACCCAGAAATGCCTTAACCTTGACTTCAGCCGCTGCTTTTGTAATTTTTAATATTTGTACTTATGGTGTGATTTGGGGAACAACAAATTTTAAAATTAGAGCAAAAAGATGTGGTGTTTATTCCCTCATTTCTACTTGCAACCTTGAAAATTCAAGTAGCAGCAAGAGTTTGTTGAAAGTAACTTCCACCAAATGGAACCGATTACAAATGTACTACAGAGTGTCAAATAACCAGAGATGTAAATACAGATGCAGACACAGATATAAAATCCAGTGGTTACACCAGATTGAGAAATGCTTGCCAGTTTGTAGGACTTCTAAAACTTGACATAAATGTTGGCTAAGGGATACAAGATGTTATGAGATGAGTGAGATGGTTGGCCTAGAACCACAGGCTCTCTCCTCTGTACAACAGAAAATCCATAAGAAAGTCAAATGTGAAAGAACCAGGTACCGCTGAATGGCATAATCAGCCATCCTTCCCGTCCCTGGGCCAGCTGCGGTGAGTGCAGCCAGTTGTTCACCAACATCCATCGTCCATCCTCCAGGCCACGGCTACACTTTACTCCCAGCTCCACGTAATTATGTAGATTAGGTAAATGATGGCCACTCTCACCCTAAGCCTCCCCCGCCAGCATGGCAATCACCCAGCCCCAACCACAGCAAGGACAGTCGTGTCCTTGGGAATGTAGGGCAGGTGTCTGGAAGGAACCTGGATCCCTGAATACCTCATGGAGCAGTCACCAGCCTGGAACATCCCCCCTGAAGGGTTTGCGAGAGAGAAAACCTCCTTGGTTCCTCAAGCTACAATACTGCAGAGTCCCTGGTCACAGCATCCTTACCTACCCTAGTCAGGAGCCATTCATGCCTTTCACCAAGACATAAAAACAAAAACGCAGTGGCACCGTCACGCACACCCAGAACATAGACTGCCTGCTGCCCACCCAGAATGCAGACCGCCCACAGCTCCCCCAGAAAGCAGACCGCCCGCTGCCCACCCAGAACGCAGACCGCCCGCAGCTCCCCCAGAACGCAGACCGCCCACTGCTCCCCCAGAACGCAGACCGCCCGCTGCTCCCCCAGAACGCAGACCACTTGCTACTCACATTCATCTTATTAACACCAAAAAGCCATAGTGGTGGATATCCCGGATGTGGACACTTAGTGGCTTTTTGCTGGAGATGCGCTTTGTGCACTTATCACACAACCATCTTGGACTCAGGAGGCGCTGTGCAGATGGCAGCTGTGCACGTCACAGTGAGTCTCACTCGCTGGACTCTCTGCCGACTCCCAGCATCAGCACCTGTAGGGTCCTCTCCTCCGGGAGCACGTGCTTGGATACCACAGTATCCTGTGGATCCATACAACGGTGCAGTGTGCCCCAGGAGCTTGCAAAGTACCACTGCATCAGTGCTTCCACAGGTGAGGCCGGGGGCAGAAGCCAACCTCAAGCAGTTACCATCCTCCGTGGGGCTGGCGTCCAGGCAGGAAGGCGACTCAGCAGCTCTCCTCTCACTGTGGAACTTCCTAGGTCCCCACATGAACAGAACCTAAATAACACGCAAGAAACAACAGGAACGAGAACACTACCAGCAGCTTCTGAGATGGGCAAGCTGAGCTGATCATGAGACACCTGACGGGGATGGTGCCAGAACCCCTCCCAGTGACCTGTGAGGACGGCGCTGCCGGCATCTCCCTAGAACCTGCCCAAGTCGAGTTAGACTCGAGGCTCCCAGGAGTGGGGCAGATCCGTTCAATCCCACAATCTGAACATTCTTCTAGGCCATCTCATGGCCCCCATCTCATAGATGGGAACTGGGACACTGCACCATAGACCCGGTCTTCCTCTATACCACACACCAGTACAGTGAGCACTTATGGACTGGGTATTCACGTAAAATACTGCTTAACTAAAACTTCTGATTTAGAAAATGTTTAATTCCTACTCACAGAGCTGAAAGTGCTCTGTCCTAGAAGGCAGCGGCTGTAATTAAGCTTGAGAGAGGAAGAAGGGATCAGAGTGGTGCCAAGTATTTAAATATTCAACTAAATCTATTCACCACGTTGCCATGCTCCTGTCACCTGCTTCGTTTTCCGTCCTTAAAAGACACAAAAGTTAGTTCTCAAAATAGACAACCTATTTTACTGTTGCTTAGCCATAAAGTAGTGAGCTATGTATCCAAAAGGGAGATATGGGAAAACAGAAAAGACAGGAGACAGATCCTAAACACCGTAAAACAGAAAACATCCACAAACGATCAGGGTGGGAGGGCAGCTGCAGCAGCACCTGGCTCCGTTGCATCTTTGTGAGCCAGCCACATGGGCTGGATAGCTCACTTAGCCACTGAAATTACATCATCTAAGATTTTTGTTGCAGTTACTTTGATAAATTCTCCCCTCCTGCTATGGAAAGGTTTAGCTTGCTTTTATTTTTTTAGGTGGAGTCTCACTCTGTCACCCAGGCCGGAGTGCAGTATTGCGATCATGGCTCATCGCGGCCTTGACTTTCTGGCTCAAGCAATCCTCCTGCCTCAGCCTCCCAAAGAAGCTGGGACCAACAGGCAAGTTTCATTTCTTTGCTAACAAATTCCTAATTCGCCACCACGTGGCGGGCCCATCAGGCCATCTGCCTGGACGTCCACCTTGCCGACCGGCTGTGTGGTCTCTAAGGTGGATGCACTCCGGTTGCCCGAGCTCTGCACACGATGCCGAGTCTCCACGCCTGCCGCCGTCTAAGTGACTGACAGCCCGGAGCATCCCGGACATGCCACCGTGAGCCGGGCTTTATTCCACAGGGCGACTTTGCTTCCCGTGAGGAGATGCAGCACGTGAGCACAGATCAAAGGGTGTCAGCAACTAACACATTTCCCAGATATTAAGCAGAGGACCAAGGGTTTTGTTCCTTATTTGCTATGGGCTTGATTCAAAACAGCTTTCTGGACTCCTGGGGACAAACATCTCTAACTGATGAGAATTCTGGCTTTATTAATGGAAGAATCACCTAATGCCCATTTTGTAACTGCTGTTCTTATCAGAACTTGAGGCCAAAGAAAGGGAAAAATAAAAGGGGGGCCAAGGTCGTGACACCCCAGTTTGTACAAGGCCAACCAGCCTGCTTGAGGGGGTGAGAGGAGTAGGGTTTTTAAACTGCTGACTTTTAAAAACATGGCTGTAGGCTGGTGCAGTGGCTCAAGCCTGTAAGCCCAGCACTTTGGGAGGCTGAGGTGGGAGGGTTGCTTGAGGCCAGGAGTTCAAGATTAGCCTGGGCAATACAGCAAGACCCTATCTCTTAAAAAAAAAAAAAAAAAAAAAGACTGTTACTAACATAGTAATGAAAAGGTTGATTAATACAATAAATTACTATGTCAACATGGCACCCCCTGCTGTCAGACGAGATGGACTCTCTGTGGCTACAATGAGGCCCAGAGAGAAATGCAAGCGGCATCACAGGGAGGAAGGTTGGCCCCAAAGCCCCACGGCACTAACTCCTGTACAGTTTGTTAACCAGCATGAAGTCTCCTCCACAGTCAGACAGCAGCCTGGTTTAGAGGAACGCTGCCCACGGGACCTTGGCAGACTCCCGATGCCGGCCGACCAGACACCCCACCCTGGGACCCTGCAGGCAGCCCCGACTGGACAGAAGGGCGTCGTGAGCATCCTTTCCCGCCAAAAGCTGCAGACCCTGAGCCAGTCTCGGCTGTTGACAGAGGCTGCACATAAACGTCTGCGCCCAACAGCTCATCTTTGGTCGTGACGCGCTGAGTCCACCTCATTTCAAATGTTACGCTCGCCCCAAGGTGAACACAGATGTTACAGGTTAACTCACTGCGTGTGTGCTGTGACTTTCCCCGTAAACATTCAGACATTCCACAATCCCGATGAGCACACACAGCGAACAAACCCCACTTTCCCTGTAAACGTTCAGACATTCCACGAACCTGATGAACACACACAGCGAACAAACTCCCGTGTGTTTAAATGCCGCGGTCTCCTCCCCTCCTGAGGGGCGTGTGCTTACAGTTCCCCCGAGACCACATTTCCCAAAGTAGACTGTTACTCTGAAAATAAAACCTTTTTCCTTCCTCTGTACATCTCATGGTCATGTTGTTAACAACTATTGCTACAAATGCAAAGAATCGAGGTATCATACGTGCCGTTCACCGAATTCCTAACACCAAAGGTTCAGGGCCCCCCAGTCTGACGGAAGCGTCTATCGCCCTAAAGCCAACTCTGGAGGTAAAGGCCGAGCTCGGGAAAGGCGGTGTCACCGGCAAACCCACACCATAGGGCCCTCTACAGTTGTGTGTAAGGAATTCTTGGCCTGTCCTGGGGTGTGGGGAAATCAGGATGCAAGCAGATATCATACGCTCTGCCGCGGGACCATGAAGTCTGTGGAACCTCAGAGGAACACGGACAAACAGCTGCCTCGACGGGTGCCCGTGTCAAGAACACAGACACGCTGGGAGGAGCAGCCAATGCAGGCAACGCTTGCAACTCCAGCACGCGGCAGCTTCCAGCTCCAGCACAACTACCATATTCTGTGGCAAAATTTTTAAAATAAGTTTTAACTAGTTATAACTCTAACTTTGTTTTATAGATAAACAGAGAACACAGGGTACCAACCGGCTCCAAAATACTTCGCCCAGAACCAAGTCTAGAATGCAGATGGCTGCTGTTCCAAGTATGACGAGTCCCCTTTAGTGCCATAAATCCTAGAAGTGACTGAGTGCTCCCTCCTAAACCAGAAAGCACCCTCTGTCCCCAGGCCAGTCCATCAGCCCCGGCAGAAGCTTCTAGAGTAAGAGCCTGTGGATTTGTATTGCATGGATGTAAACCCACCAAAGTCACAGGGGCTCATCCTGGAAGCCCATCCAGTTACCCACTCATGTCCCGGAAAGCCCTGCCCCCACCTCCACCCCCGCAGTCATGCTGAACCAGAACTGGCTTCTAAGGCCCTTAAGCCACTCCCTCTCTCCCCTGGACAGACCCTTCTCAAACCATGAGGCCCAGGGTAGCCTTAACAGGTGGTCCCAGCAAAACTGGCCGCTGCATTTTCTTGCTGGCAAATGAGTCAACATCTACCTTAGAGCAACCAAAACAGCATGTTTTTCCACTGAGAAGACCTCGTTTCTGTCCATTTAGAATTGGTATTTTGTGTGGGTGTGTGAGAGAGTATGGGTGTGAGAGAGTATGGGTGAGAGAGAGAGTATGGGTGTGAGAGAGAGTATGGGTGTGAGAGAGAGTATGGGTGTGAGAGAGAGTATGGGTGTGAGAGAGAGTATGGGTGTGAGAGAGAGTATGGGTGTGAGAGAGAGTATGGGTGTGAGAGAGTATGGGTGTGAGAGAGAGTATGGGTGTGAGAGAGAGTATGGGTGTGAGAGAGAGTATGGGTGTGTGAGAGAGTATGGGTGTGTGAGAGAGTATGGGTGTGTGGTGGCGGGGGTCCTTGTTCTGTCGCTCAGGCACAGTGCACCACAAGTACAGAGGTGCTATCACGGTTCAACTGCAGCCTCAACCTCCCAGGCTTGGGTGATCCTCCAGCCTCAGCCTCCCGAGTAGCTGGGACCGCACGTGCACACCACCACTCCTACTTAATTTTTTGTAGCATCAGGGTCTTTAGGTGCTGGGATTACAGGTGTGAGCCACTATGCCCAGCCTGGAATTGATATTTCTTAAACTATTACTGAGTTTCCCACATAAACCCCACTTACATAGATCCCAGCACACTCTCACAGCTCGAGGGTTTTCCTGAATCTCAATTCTGTCCATTCAAGGTCAGTATCTAAGAAAGTGTCAGAACTGACCCTCCCTCGACGAAGCCTAAGGTCAAATGCAGCAGCATCTCCGGTATGAGGAGAGAAAGAAAGAAGGGTGGAAAACACATTGAAATTCCCGTGTTAGAATCATCACCACCAACACTTTACGAGGCAATCTGCTTTCCAGAACATCTAGCTGCCGGATTAACTTCACAGCCACCAGATTCCACAGGCAGGTGCTCAGGGGGACACAGCTTTCTCAAGGCCGCACAGCCCGGGCACCATAACAGCCTCGGGGCAAACTAAACAAAGGCTTGTTTCTCTCAAGGACAAAGGTGCTCAAATCCTTCCAAATAGTTTATTCTTCTAAATAGGTTAGATGGCCTCCTACAACAGTTTAGAGTGCCAGTGTGTTCAGGAGTGTGAAGGGAAAACATCTCAGGACCCCAAAATTACTAAGCTAAAGGGAAAAGGTAGGGAACAGCTTAGGCAAACCTGCCTCCCCATGCTCTTCCTAACAGAGATACCTACCAAAAAAAAAAAAAAGCCACGTACCTCCCTCACAACTAGTCCACAGGGAAATTTCTCATGGACAGAGAACAGAACTCAAAGTCACCCCCTGCACACGGAGATAAATGCGTATCTGCTTAGTGACGGGCACCTACTCAACCCTCCTGAGGCCGTGTCACAGATGTGTCCTCAACCCTCCTGAGGCCGTCTTGAACCGTGGGAAAATGAACTTTCTAAATGGGCTGAGAACTGTCTCAGAGACACTTCTGGTTTACAGGAAGCATTCTCTCCTGCAGGTATAATAATGAAATCACATGGAATTATAAAATGCCACTTTAGTAAAGGCTGAAGGAATTAGGGTTTGACATGCTTTAAAAAAAAAAAAAGAGGAACGTTCTATTTATCAATGGACCATGAAGCCCACGCCCCCTTCTGCAGTGACGATGGTCAACTGGGACGAGGAGCCCCTCCTGCGGATGCAGCAGAGGCCGCCCCCTGACCCCACTTCCCAGAGTCCATGCTTCTGCTGCTCAGGTAACAGCAACCCTAGCTTCACAGGGCTCAGGCCTCCAAACACAACTCCCACCCATGCTGGAGAATCACCCCGGGGACGTGCGAAACGGGGAGGTGCAACTCTCACTTCATCCCCTTAAAGGGGAAAAGGCGCCTTCCCACTCCTCTTCCTGCTGGTGGGGACAGAGGCAGGAGCCAGATGGTCAGGAGTTGGGCGGCAGGAGGGAAGCAGCCTGGGTCCCTGCTAGTCACAGATGGCAAATGCCAACCAGCCCCGACCTTCATCTTATAGTGAAGAAATCCTTCTCTTTTTGTCAGGTCCCTGTTAGAAAGAAGTTAGCGCACATTCCTTTAAAAAAAGATACAACATCGGTGTTTTGCTGATTGACAATATTTCAATTATCTGGGGGCCTTGGGTCAAATGACGCCAACACAGGAAACTGAACCCTGTTATTCAGGAAACTACCTTCCAGCCCCATCTACCCTCCCAGGCTGTCATCTTACAGTGTTTGTCTGCTGGATGATTATTATTTTTTTTTTTTTTTTGAGACGGAGTCTCGCTCTGTCGCCCAGGCCGGACTGCGGACTGCAGTGGCGCAATCTCGGCTCACTGCAAGCTCCGCTTCCCGGGTTCACGCCATTCTCCTGCCTCAGCCTCCCGAGTAGCTGGGACTACAGGCGCCTGCCACCGCGCCCGGCTAATTTTTTGTATTTTTAGTAGAGACGGGGTTTCACCTTGTTAGCCAGGATGGTCTCGATCTCCTGACCTCATGATCCACCCGCCTCGGCCTCCCAAAGTGCTGGGATTACAGGCGTGAGCCACCGCGCCCGGCCTGGATGATTATTTTTAACAATAGGTACTCTTAAGAGCTCGGTGTACACAACAGACAAGAAGTCAGCCTGGGTTGAGGGGAGGCAGGAACTGACCCCTCTCTCCCTGCAGGATGGTACAGAAGGAACCTTCAGCACCCGGGTTTGCAGGATGCTGGATCAGAGCATCTCTCACATCTCAAGTACAGCCAGACCCTCCTCTACCGCAGCCTGTTCAGGAGAAGGTGGCACCTGCCCTAGAGACCCACAGCCCTAGGCGTGGGCTGAGCTGGAGCTGAACTTTCCTCCCTTGGTAAGAGTCAGGGCCAGGGGTGGGGAGAGGAGACAAGCAGCAGGCGAGAGGGGCGCTGTGGAAACTCCATGCTGTGCTAACTCTCATCTGACATGCTCCGGCCAAAGCCACGCTTCTCGGGGGGCATTTCCCTTCACACATCTGGAAATCATCCACGTCTAGTACTCCCCACAGAACAGATCCTTCCCCAGGAGGCAGACACTTGGCTGTAATCTTTGGTAATGAGGGGCATGCCTTTGTACCCATTCTGTAGTGTTTCCTGTTACCTATTTTACCTTAAGCTAAAAATGGTTCCCATTTACACTCTGCAGTGACACAGCGAAACACACGAGATTCAGTGTGATCCCACACTCGTCACTGCTGACCTCAAGTTCTTTATTTGTCCATTTATATTACCATCTTTTCTCAAGATGCAATGTTACAGTCTGATCATAAAAACTGTATGTGGGCTATGGCAGTCATACACCTGCACTCAAATCTTTTATGTCAAATATGTAAAGGGAGCCTATAGGTTTGGTTCAAAGAATTATTGGTGTTAACTCCAGGAAATACGACACCTTGGGTCACATTTGCTCTTGCAGTGTACTCTGAGAATTAGGTCAAAATAATTATTATAAACATATACACATACTTATATGTATGCAAATGCCACATTTTCAACATTTCTCTCCCATTGCTCCCGTAAGCTTCCATCCTGAGGCACACTTCGGGTGCAAAGAGTATTTTCAGATGGATGGTACGTCAGCTCCCCTGGGTTTCCATAACAAATGTCCCAGATTGGGCAGCTTCAACAATATAAATTGATTCTCTCCCAGTCTGGGAGCCAGAAGTCCACAATCAAGGTGTGGGCAGGGCCGAGCTCCCACCGCAGGCTCCAAGTGGGATCCTTGCTACCTCCTCCAGCATGTGCGCTCAGGCGTCCCTCAGCTTGAAACCACATCACGCCCATCTCTGCCTCTGCCTTCACACAGCCCTTTTCTCTGTGTCTCAAATTTCCCTTTCCTCTCCAAGGACACCAGCCATTGGGACGTAGGACCCACCCTATATCCAGGATATCTCCTGAGAGCATGGTATCTATCTGCAAAGACCCTGTTCCCCATAGGGACATCACAGTCCCGGGGGCTAGAGTTGTATCTATCTGCAAAGACCCTGTTCCCCATAGGGACGTCACAGTCCCGGGGGCTAGAGTTGTATCTATCTGCAAAGACCCTGTTCCCCATAGGGACATCACAGTCCCAGGGGGGCCAGCGTTGTATCTATCTGCAAAGACCTGCTCCCAACAGGGACACCACAGTCCTGGGGGCTAGGACTGGGACATAAGTTTGGGAGGACACAATTTAATACCAGGAGCCGGACAGACAGTGAATGTGATTCAGAATTCGTTCATGGGACTGACTCCCAGTGCTCTGTGGAGGGGGGGCCATCCTGAGAGGTGCTAAGACAAAGACAGTGAGTGCTGTTTTTGGAAGCCTAAGCTATGACTCGGTTTTAACTGATTAAACCTTCTTTCCAGCAAACAGCTTCCACGTGAACAGAAGAGTGTGTGGGAAATCCAAAGGGAAAAGGCAGTCATCTGAAACCATCTTCTTGACCCCCCAGTTCTGTGTTCTACTTGAGTATCTCAAAGTTAACACACGCCAGTTCTTTATTCTGTTTTTCCCAGAACTTATCATCCCTGCCGTGACACCACCACCCATTTTGTAGTCATAGAAGATGAACAAAAGAAGGTGGGCATCAGTCATGAGGCTGGCTGTGTCCTGCATCTCACCCCAGGCTCTCCTCACTGCACCCTGTCAGGCAGCCTGAAGGGACTCACCCAGGTCCCAGGTGAAGTCTGATTCCCTCTGTGGGGGAAGAAGTGAGGGTGGAGTGAGTTTGACAACCTGACCACCCAGAGGCAAGGCCGTATGAAGGAGGGCGTGGGATCTTGGCCCCTGTGACAACCTCACCACACAGAGGCAAGGCCGTATGAAGGAGGCAGTGGGATCTAGAGCCCTGCACAGCTCCCCAGACCTGACCTGGACCAGAATCTCTGTGATTTCGGGGTAAATGACTCAAACAGAGCAAGTGCACTCTCTCCACTGAAAGGATTCTTATTTAAAACTGTTTCTAAAATACCCATCGTTAACTAATAAGGATCACCCTGGCGCAGACTCCGGTTCCTTTCAATTCGCCTCTTTTCTTCCCACAAGTAGCCCTCTAATGCCCAAGGAAGCTCAGACAACACAAGTAACTACGACCTGGCTCCAGCATCTGCCCCCCACACATTTGTCCCCAGGGCACCCAGCATCCTGCCCCCCGTCCCCCTCCCCCGCACACTTGTGCCCAGGGCACCCAGGACACGGGTATCACCCATGTTTCAGCCAGGCTTGTGTTTCCCCCATTAACATGACAACAGGAGAGGGATGAGGGAAGACACGAGACACAGGCTGGTAAGTCAACTCTAGGTGGTGCAAACCCATTGCTCTGGCAATAAGCAAAGCTCTTGGGGTCTCCCTAAATATCGAGCAGTTATCTTTCGTCTGCGAATTTTTTTTTTTCCCCCGAGACCGAGTCTCGCTCTGTAGTGCAGGCTGGAGTGCAGTGGCGATCTCGGCTCACTGCAGCCTCCACCTCCCAAGTTCAGGCGATTCTCCTGCCTCAGCCTCCCAAGCAGCCTGGATTACAGGCACGCGCCACCATGCCTGGCTATTTTTTGTATTTTTGGTAGAGACAGGGTTTCTCCATGTTGGCCAATCTGGTCTTGAACTCCTGGCCTCAAGCGATCTGCTGCCTCGGCCTCCCAAAAGTGCTGGGATAACAGCCACGAGCCACCGTGCCTGGCTGTGAATGTATTTTAAATTTTTAAGCTTTTTGTTTCTAGACTCTGTATCCTCTGTGGATAACAAATGCTTCCCGAGGAGTTTTCTTTGGGACAGGGTCTTGCTCTGTCACCCAGGCTGGCATGCAGTGGCACAATGATAGCTCACACCAGCCTAAAACTCTGGGCTTCAGAGATCCTTCCACCTCCCACTCCCAAGTAGCTAGGACTACAGGTGTGCACCACCACACTCGGCTAGTTCTTTTTTGTAGAGATGGGATCTTGCTATCTGGTTGCCTAGCCTGGTCTCAAACTCCTGGCCTCAAGGTATCCTTCAGCCTTGGCCTTCCAAAGCCCTAGAACTATAGGCATGAGGCATGAGCCATTGTGCCCAGTCTCCTGAAGATTTTCATCATAAACAGGTGCCACAATCCTGGACTCTTCCAGTCCGGACCGTACAGGGGCTAGGGTGAGAGAGGGATGGTTCAGGGTCTCAACGTGGAAATGATGGGGCCTGCCTGTGCTCTCAGATCTAAGTCAATGTTGTCAGCCTCTGGGTTTCAGTGTTTTGGGTTTTTGTTGTTGTTCTCTAGCCAAACTTAAGAACCTCACAAATAAGTCTAAGAACCTCAAATTACCCAGGAAGGGATATAAACATTCTAAGGTTCTTATTGAAAACGTTTCTTTTTAACAAAAGATAACTGTACCTATTAATACTATCACAATTCTAAATTATATCAAAAAAATTGTAAGCACTGGGTAATATGACTTTGAAAAATGTGCTCACTAGCAAAAAGCAGCACATAATTTAAATGTACATGACTACTAAGAACTTTTTCTGTGTTCATGAATCTGCTATATGAACCTCAGTTGTGAGTTGTCTGTTCATGTCATTCCGTGTGTTCTGTGAATCTGCTGTATGACCTCAGTTGCGAGTTGTCTGTTCACGTCATTCCATGAGTTTTGTGAATCTGTTCTACGAGCTCAGTTGTCTGTTCACGTCATTCCGTGCGTTTTGTGAATCTGCTATATGACCTCAGTTGCGAGTTGTCTGTTCACATCATTCTGTGGGTTTACTGAATTCCTATGGCATTTCTCATCAATTAAGCAAACCTTTCATAGAGTGCTCATATTAATCCTTTAATCTTTGCTGTATTCGATTCTTAAATATTTATTTTGCTTCTAGAGTTTGTACTCTATCCTGGGGTTCCAGGCCTGTGGATTCAACCAACTATAGATCAAGAATATTTTTTTAATGTGTTTGTACTAAGCATTCAGACTTTATTATTCATTAAACAATATAGTTTAACAACTATTCACATGGCAAGTACATGGTATAGGTGTTATGAGCAATCTTGACATGACTGAAAGTCTACAGGAGGATGTGCATATGTCATATGCAAACACTATGCCATTTTATTCCAGGGACCTGAGTGCCCACAGACCTTGGTATCCATAGGCAGTCCTGCAACCCACCCCCATGGGCACTGTGGAATGGCTATAATAGAAAATATAGAGGTTTTAAAAAGTTATGTACTAAATCTAATCTTTTGTTAAGAAATTACTGTGTGTCACGTGTATTATTTGGAAGTCGTTCCTGGTCCAGAGACTTGACATGTTCTTATCTTTTTGTCCACTGATCTAACTAGTCATTCCAGTAAGTTTATTGAACACAAATCAATTTTACAATTAAATTCTTAAAGGAATCACACTCATACTGTAAGCTGCTTTGGTTTTTAAAGTGAAATAACAGTTTTCAAAAACAGCTATATCATAGAATAACAGGATAAAGCAGACCTACAATATGCAAAAACATGGGATTTCAACGCTAACCAGTATAAAACACATTACAAACCCCTAAATATGAAAATGTTTGACACCACAGATATTCCAGAAAAAAACAAGATGATCAAAAAAGCCATTTGCAGAAAGCCACTTTCCCCTTCACTTTTCACATGGTTTCTAGAAACTTGTGTTTGGCAATAACCATGAATCAGAAGCAGCATCCACTGCAACTACTGCTACTGCAACACAGAATATTAAAGCAAAATAAAAAGGACACAGCATATTTCCTATTTATGAGAACAGGTAGAGTGTTATAAAAATGATGTGCGTGTTTTAAAGTCAACAATGTTCAAATTCTAGGTCTCCCGCAGACACTAGACGGTAACCGCCAAAGCTTATGTACTTGGAAACTTTCAAGGAGACCAAGTTCAGAGCTGTCACAACGCAGCACCATCCTCACACAATTATCTCAGGTGTGTTTGAGGGCAAGTGCCCCCGTCACAGGGGGAAAGCTGCCCGGCCCAGCACTTCCTGAGATCACACAGAGCTTCCACCTTCCCACATCTTCAATAGTTCCTTTACACTGGGAACCAGAGAGCAAAACCTAAAACACTTCCTCAAATCTCAAGACAGTCTTGAGTCCTCTTCTCCTTGCCCCTTCTCTCACTGAAAAAGCCTATTCTATAAGCAATCTGTAGTGCTTACCAGAGCTGGGGTAGGAGGAAAGCTAGTGTTTGGTAGACCAAGTTTCAAGCTTGGGGAGACCAAGAATATGGCGGTGATCGTGGCATGACAGTGTGAACGCACTTAATGCCACCAAATCGTACACTTAAAAATGGTCACAGTGCTATGTAATTTTACCACAATAAAAAGACTAACTGAGAAAAGTAATCTCTAATTACTGTCTGCCATTTCTTGCATCCTGTAAGGTGCATTTGCTTTTGGAAATCCTCAGAGCAATCATGAAAGACTAATACCCTGTCATCTCTGAAACACAGGTAAAGTCTTTCAAGGGTTTTGATTATAGTAAAGTAGCTGGAAAGCAAAGCATGCATTAGACACAGCAGCCGTGATAGGACAAACACATGGTAGGAAGGTGGTGGTCGTGCTACACGCAGATGGGGAAGGATGTGGGGAGCCACAACACCCGATGCTGGGGAGCCACAACACCCGATGCTGGGGAGCCACAACACCCGATGCTGGGGAGCCACAACACCCGATGCTGGGGAGCCACAACACCCGATGCTGGGGAGCCACAACACCCGATGCTGGGGAGCCACAACACCCGATGCTTGGGAGGCACCTGGGCAGGAGCTGAGAATGTACCAAACACGTTCTACCACGCAACATTCATGGACCCTGAGTCCGGCCACCACCGCCGACATCCACTCTGGCTGAGGTGTCCTCTGTCACAGACACACACACCCTGCCGAGGACAGTGCACAGGTTAAATGTCAAAGCACAGACATGCTCAGGTCCAGCTGCTCAGCCAAAAGCAAAAACACATTTCCCAGACACCACAGCTTGACCTTCCACCTGACCACACCCATCTCTCCTGCACCCCACATCGTGACCCTCCACCCGACCACACCCGTCTCTCCTGGACCCCCCCGAGTGACCCTCCACCCCCATATCTCTCCTGGATCCCACAGCATGACCCTCCACACTGACCACACCCATCTCTCCTCGACCCCACAGTGTGACCCTCCACCTGAACACCCCCATCTCTCCTGGATCCCACAGCGTGACCCTCCACATGACCACACCCATCTCTCCTGGACCCCACAGCGTGACCCTCCACCCGACCACACCCGTCTCTCCTGGAACCCCAAGAGTGACCCTCCACCTGACCACCCCCATCTCTCCTGGATCCCACAGCATGACCCTCCACACTGACCACACCCATCTCTCCTGGACCCCACAGCGTGACCCTTCACCTGACCACACCTGTCTCTCCTAGACCCCACAGCATGACCCTCCACCTGACTGCACCCTGTCTAGTGCATCCCTGCACCTGTCTCTCGGCCCCCCTCACCTCACTTCCTCACCTTCTCGTCGGGTCAAGCACCAACAATCCGCTGTGTGCCTGGTGCACTGAGCCTTGTCAGGGGCCTCTGGGCCGCGTGCCAGGACACGCCCCTGGGGACTCCCAGTGCACACGTTGGTCTCCTGCACACTTGGCTCTTCTATCTGCGGGAGCCGGCACCCACCCCTACAACTGACTGCACTCTCAGAAAAGTCCCAGAAGACCCCTCACCAACCCAGCAACACCTTGAGGCCACATCCCACTTGCCTGCTGGCTCCTGAACCTCCCCCACCCTGTGACGGCTCACTCCCTCCTGAGCTCCTTCTGCTCCCTGCCTGCCTCTGCGAGTTACCTCCTGGGCGATGCCAGGTGACGGTAACATCAACCAGGAGGCACTGCTGAGAAGCAGAAAGCATGGTGCAGTGCCCAGAACGTCATGTCCCTCAACAGATGCTCTATGTCTTCTCCTCCTCTCCTGGCAGAGCTTTGCTGTAGGAAGAAGGCCATTCCTCCAGTGCTGCTACTTCCAACACTGGGGAAAACAAGCTTCAGAAAGGAACGGTGTCAAAGAGGCAGGACCCACCAGCAGGACTGCCAGCGGCCAGACGACCACAGCCCCAGCATTCCCCAGCCACTACGGCCGACAGCCCAGGCTCCAGAAATGCACAGCTTCAACCTTCAGAGTAAAAACCCTCCCAAGCCAACTATTTCTTCAACAATCGGATTGGGGAATGGAGGGTTCTAACCCTGCCCCTCTCTATACCACAGATCATCAGATCCCAGTTCTTATCAGATTGGGAAGTGGGGGGTTCTGACCCTGTCCCTCTCTATACCACAGGTCATCAGATCCCAGTTCTTATCGGATTGGGGAGTGGGGGGTTCTGACCTTGTCCCTCTCTATACCACAGGTCACCAGATCCCAGTTCTTATCAGATTGGGGAGTGGGGGGTTCTGACCCTCCCCCCTTCTCTATACCACAGATCATCAGATCCCAGTTCTTACGGGATTGGGGAGTGGGGGGTTCTGACCCTGCCTCTCTATATACCACAGATCATCAGATTCTAGTTCTTTTCTAAGCCCAGCACTTTGCTTCTGCCACATGCAGTCATCCTCAGCACCAGGAAAAGTCAAACATTGAGTGATGACGATGACACCAATACCAAAAGTCAGAAACATTGAGTGATGATGATGACACCGATACCAACACATGCGGCTCTGGCAGCTTTGGTAACTCGCTGCACAGATACAACTGGACAGCAGTGAGATCCATGGACATCACCAGTCTTCGCAAGGATCGTGTTCCTGAATCTTCTGCGTTAGGAATAACCGTCTCCTTTGCAAGGGCTGAACCATGCTTCCCACTCGCCTGTCCTCTGCCTTCACCAGCTTTGTGCGCATTTCCGGGCAAGTGTCTGTGCAGGTGCCATCACTGATTTCAGTAGCGAGAACGTACACAGACACCACACAGAAATGGGTAACCCTGTTAGGAGCTGTGCAGGGAGATCTAACTCATCAGATGTGCCAAATTCCTGTTGCCATGGAAATTAAACTGACGTTGCCGTGACCACATCTCTTACTGCACCACTAAAGACCATCTGGGTAAGAGGAAAGTGCTTCTGCAGAGCATTCAGCTCACGTTTACATGTCCGTTTTCCCTGAATACGGTTGTTACGTGAGATAGAAATCAGTAAGATAGGCTGTAACATATAGTATGGATCGTTGTGTCTCCTAGGCTCAAACACATCCTTTAAGATCCTCAGAAAATGAAGTTTAACTCTCTGGGGACATGAGTTACATAGTAACATGTTTTGGATACAGTCTCTTTCGCATTCTAAATATCAACACCAAATAAGTTCTTTAGTTTCTTTTTACATTGAAAAGCATTTACAAACCATAAAATCCCCCATATTAAAGGGTACAATTCAGTCTTTTTAGCATATTCTCAAAGCTGCACAACAATCACCACTAGTATTTAATTCTGGGACTTTTTCACCACCCGCAAAAGAAACCTTGAATCCATTAAGAGTCAGCACCTGCTGCTTCCTTCCGCCAGCCCCTGGCAATCGCCAGCCGACTTCTGTTTCTCTGGATTTGCCCACTCTGGACGCCTGTCGTGAGTGGGCACATAGTGCGTGACCTTTGACGTGACCTTTGGTGCCAGCATCTTTCACGTTCAAGGTGACTGGTATCGTACAGTGCGTGACCTTTAGCATGACCTTTGGTACTGCCATCTTTCACATTCAAGGTGAGTGGAATCGCACAGTGCGTGACCTTTGGTGTGACCTTTGGTGCCGGCATCTTTCCCGTTCAAGGTGAGTGGAATTGCACAGTGCTTGACCTTTGGTGTGACCTTTGGTGCTGGCATCTTTCACATTCAAGGCTCATTGGAGCACATGTTCTTTTGTTCCTTTTTACGGCTGAGTGATACTCCATTGTGTGCAAATTTTCTTTATCCACTCATCTGTTGACAGACATCTGGGCTGTTTCTACTCACTGTTACGAATAATGCTGCTATGAAGATTCTTGCATAAGATTTTTTTGTAAAAACGTTTTCAGTTTTCTTGGGCATATGCCTGGGAGTGAAATTGCTGGGTCGTACAGTGATTTTATGCTTAACTTTTCTGAGGAACTGCCAGACTTTTCCAAAGCAACTGTACCATTTTCCTTCCCCTCCCACTAGCAATATATACAGATTCCAATTTTCCCATCTTCACCAACATGTCACCGTCCAGTACTGGGGTTTTACCCATCCCAGTGGTTGTGAAGTGGTATCTCACGGTGGTTTTCATTTTCATTTCTAAGATGACTAATTCTGTTAAATATCTCATGTGCTTTTTAAGGCATTTATGTATCTTTCTTTGGAGAATGTCTATTCAAATCCTTTGTCCATTTTTAAATTGGATTTTCTTTTCATTGCTGAGTAAGTTTTTAAAGATATTCTTGATATCAGGCCCTTATTGGGATAATGTGTCTTGTTCTGTGGGTTGTGTCTTTTTACTTTAATAGTAACCTCTGAAATGAACATTTTTAATTTTGATACTGTCTTTTCCCCTTCAGTTGCTTGTTATGCTTTAGACATCTCATCTAAGGAACCATTGCTTAATTCAACGTAACAGTTTCACCTGGATTCTCCCCTAAGGGTGTAATGAGCTGAACTGTGTCCCCGCAAGATTCCCATGTTAAAGCCACAACCCCTAGAAACTCAAAATGTCACAGGGCCTTTAACGTGACAATTTAGGTCCCATAAGATCTTAAGAGTAGGCCCTGATCCAACATGACTGGTGTTTTCCCTTTTTTTTTTTTTTTTTTTTTTTGAGTTTCACTCTCTCTGTCCAGGCTGGAGTGTAGTGGCATGACCTCAGCTCACTGCAACCTCCGCCTCCCAGGTTCAAGCAATTCTCCTGCCTCAGCCTCCTGGGCAGCTGGGACTACAGGCACCTGCCACAACGCCCAGGTAATTTTTGTAGTTTTAGTAGAGATGAGGTTTCACTGCTGATCTGTAACTCCTGACCTCAGGTGATCCACCCACCTCGGCCTCCCAAAATGCTGGGATTACAGGTGTGAGCCACCACGCCCAGCCATGACTGGTGTTCTTATAATAGAGAATTTAGACACACAGAGTCCTCAGTGCTGCACACACATAAGAGAAACCCATGAGGACACAGAGAAGACGCCGTCTACACAGAATGGGGTGAGGACCCGGAGGATCGAACCCTGCCTGCACCTTGACCCCAGGCTTCCAGCCTCCAGAACAAAGGAAATAAGATGCTGTTTAAGCCTCACAGTCTGCGGTGTCTGTTACGGTACCCAGCAGACTGACAAAATGGGTCTCACAGTATCGACTCTTACACTGGATCCATTTTGAGCTATTTTTTTGTGTAGGGTGAGGGAGGGTGCAGTCCATCCTTTTCCATGTGGATATCCAGTTGTCCCAGCACCACTAAGTTGCGAAAGGAAAAAAGTAAAGCAACCCCTTACAACCTTTCTCCATCAACAGATTAGAAGGTACACTGAAGAATCATGGACAATTTGTTGTCGGTTTAAGCCGGTGGTTTTCAAACTTTTGGGTCTCAGGAACCCTTTACAGTTTATTAAAGATCACAAAAAGCTTTCTCATGAGGCCGGGCATGGTGGGCTTATGCCTGTAATCCCACCCAGCACTTTGGGAGGCCAAGGCAGATGGGTCACTTGAAGTCAGGAGTTCCAGACCGGCCTGACCAACATGGTGAAACCCCATCTCTACTAAAATAATAAAAATTATCCGGGCTTGGTGGTGGGTGCCTGTAGTCCCAGCTACCTGGGAGGCTGAGGCAGGAGAATCACTTGAACCCGGGAAGCAGAGGTTGAAGTGAGCCGAGGTCACGCCACTACACTCCAGCCTGGGTGACAGAGCAAGACTCTTAAAAAAAAAAAAAAAAAGTAACAAATTTATTTTAAAATAATAAAGTCATTACATGTTAATAAACAGCACAGTCTTAAAGAAAAAACCATTTTCCAAAATAAGCAGCAGTGTGGCAACAGTTTGTGCTGCTGTGAGAACACCTAACGCCTCTCTGCACCTCGGACAGCAGGGTTCTCATGCCTCCATCTGCGTTCAGTGGGCTGCAGAACTCTGGTTGAAGTTTATGAAAAATGTCTGATCCCATGCTATATACAGTTAGGAAGAAGTATTTTTCACTGTGCTTTCACATAGTTTTAGGTATTCTCTGCTGCCAAATGTCACAAGCGGCACTTCCATGCAGGCTGTCTGCAACGCAGAGTCTGGACCCTGGTCGACGGGCCTTTCTGCCCCAATTCCTTTTAAGCGGACTGGTCTGTCCTGCACTTGAGTGGCTCTTTTACCAGCACACGATTTTGTAACTGGTTAGAAAACACTGGTTCAGAGTTATGAGCAGCTTCCACATTTCATTATGTCAAAAAAAAAAATCACATCAATATCACCACTGATCACATGAGAAAGTGGCAGACACAAGATTTGTATATTTTAATATTCACTGGAAAGCTCCAATGGCTATCATTGGGAATAACGTAAGGTATTTTCCTTGAGATGAAAGAATCAATTTGTTCATTTTTCAGGCCACACCTGCAAATACCTATCTCTTAAGTGGCAGAGTTTGTAAGTCATTCTTTAGATAAAGAAGGCCATTAGTGGAAGAAGCGGTTCTGCAGGTTCATGGGAGAGCACTTGGTGCCTCTGAGCTAAGATAACCATCAAATCCTCGGAAGACGCACCTCTGCATACTTCCTGTTTCTCATTCAGAACATTCCAGAGGGAACCCGGAATCCCGGTGCTGCAGCGGGACTGAAGTTTGCTCTCACCCACACAATAAACCCAGGGAGCTCCCCCAGCCCCCATCGCGAGGCCACAGCCTTGGTCCTCTGATCCAGGAGGGCTCCTGCAGCTCCAGCCTACAGGGAGAAGCATGCACCCACACATCAGAAAGCCCTCCCAGGCCCAGCGAGCACTTCTGCTTATGTGCCAGCCAAGTGTGTGTAACAGGGCCACAGCCAGCTGTGAGGCAGGCAGTGAGGTACCCAGCAAATACTCAGGGCTCACATCACTGAGAAGGAAGGAAGGTTGACAGCGAAGTACCCAGCAAATACTCAGGCCTCATGTTACAGAGGAGGAAAGCAGGCAGACAGTGAGGTACCCAGCAGGGTTCACATTATCCAGGAGGAAGGGAGGGTGGAGAAAAAGGGGCTGGAACAGTCTCTGTCATGAGCTTTAGCATTTACAAGGCTTGCTGAAGATTATCCGATTTGATCTTCACAATAGCTCACAAGATAGGCAGAGGCATGACTTTTCAGAGATCCAGAGAACTGATGATGACCACGTGCTTTTCCCACAGGCTCCCAGAAATCATCCTCAAATCATCTCTCAGTTTATACATGTGATAAAATCTCAGTCACGTCCCCTCTCTGCAGGGGGATTTTAACGCTGCCCTGCTGTTCCATCGCACCCCTGCCCTCTCCTGCATTTCATCCATGCCCACCATCCCTGGGGAGCCCACACCACCCCACCCGCAGCTGCTGATGGCTTGGGTCACCCTTATCTCTCATTTCCACCTGCAGGGACCTGTTCTGCCTTCAAATGCAGCTCAAACCCACTCATTGTGTGAAGCCTTTTTCAGCCATCACAACTGTCACATGTAAAAGCAGTCTGCAATGCTTCATTTAGGAGGTGCTTGTGTTGCCTCATTGGCTGTGATCAGGACCAAATTCTGAGCAAACCAGGTGGTGTGGTGGTCCCCTGTCCCCACCTCTGCCCCAGTGCACCTAAAACAAGGATTCCTGGAAGCACCTTTTCAGTCCAATTCACACGAGTCTGCCCCACCCCCCCCCCCACAGGAAAGCCCTGGTGGTCAGGGCTCAGGGCCCCCAGGTGGGTAAGGAGAGCTTGGTGCCCTCTCTGGAGTTGTCGCCCAGAGACCTACGGCTGGAAGGGAAGAAACTTGCATCCTGTGAAACATCCAGCCCCGAGACCCACTCAGGAGCAGAAGACGGGAAAAGAGCATCGAACAGCCCCTCGGGAGGGCAGTCAGCAGGAGCCGCGGAGGCCACCGGGATGGAGGGAGGGAGGGAGGGAGGGAGGCAGGCAGGCAGGCAGTGAGGCCAGAGGTGATGTGGCCAGGAGGGAGGGAGGGAGGCAGGCAGGCAGGCAGGCAGGCAGCGAGGACAGAGGTGATGTGGCCGGGAGGGAGGTGATGTGGCCAGAGGTGACGTGGCAAGGGTTATGGGGGTGACATGGTGTGGTGGGGGGAGGAGATGTGGCCAGAGGTGATGTGGCCGGGGGAGGAGACATGGCTGGAGGGAAGCGACAAGAGGGGTCTCCAGGCCTCAGACTGTGGAGCTTTCACGCTCGCACAACCTCACAGACTGTGCCTGATTTATGGATGACATTTTAATTAAGATGTTACATCTAACTTTAAAGAAAAGTAGTTATTTAGAACCATTGTGTATGTTTAAAGCACGGTACAAATATAGCACATTTCCCAAACCAAAGAACAGTGCATTGCAGGAAAAAATAGCAGCTCACAAAAAAAAAAAAAAAAAAAAAAAAAAAGTGAGTAAAGAAAAAATTCATTTAAGATCAGAAATAAAGATCCTACAGCTCTTCTAGTCCAATCCCCCACCCTAACGTGAATGGGGGAAAAAGCCAAGTAGATTCTAGTTAGTCAGAATTAAAGGCAAAACCGATCCACTTTACTTTCTACTTGACAGAAAACAAGCAGCTCATCAAGGAATCCCTACAAATAGTAGCTTTAAGAGTCCCCAAAATGCAAAATTCACGTTCAAATTCAATCAACTGCTAAGTGCGATAAAGTTACTTTTTCATTATTGCTTCCCTCATCCCCAGGGGCCTTTTTAGACCTTTTTTCCCCAATTGCCTCCAACACCCAGGAAATTTAAACCCCACAAGTAAGCTATGTCTCAATTAACACACAGCACCCTTTGGAGCAGACAGTCCATTGCTCTAAGACGTCCTTGTCACCTAAGCACCAAGTACAGCCTGAGAAGATACAACGCGTCCACACACGGACTCGGGCCCATCCACAAGCCAACAGGTGAGATGTGGCACATGAGAAGGAAGACGAGACCAATGAGCTTCACCAACACCCCAAAACCACGCAGAAGTGACCCATACAGCCTGCTTGGGCGCCAGTGACTCCTGGGAAACAGCCAAGGGCGGCATTTGGAGAAGCAGCACCACAGGCCAGGAGGGTCTGGTGGCTTCAGAGGGGAGGGGTGCCCCCGACCAGGTGCCGGGGGCTTCAGAGCGGAGGGCCCCCCCCGACCAGGTGCTGGAGGCAGCGGGACAAGCCATGGGTGCCCTCGTCACTTTTCACTCCCTACTCCCGATTCTTGCCCTGAAAGCTCGCAGCAAGTCCAGGTATTTATTTACCCATAAAATTAAGTATCTGTGAGTAACACTAGTCACTAATTCACATAGATCTGAGTCCACAGATACCTCTAGAGACACCACCATCCCTTCTGGTAGAAGGGCAGCCCAGGGGCCCACACTGCTAGGAAGGGAGACTGTGTCTCCAGCCTGACAATGCAGAGTCCCCAACACAAGGTCTACCTTCTGGAACCATGCGGTGTCCTACAGAAGCAACAAGGGACGTGTAGCTTTTTTTTTTTTTTTTTTCTCTTAAGACAGTCTCCCTCTGTCGCCCAGGCTGGAGTGCAGTATCACAATCTCAGCTTGCTGCAATCTCTGCCTCTCGGGTTCAAGTAATTCTCCTGCCTTGGCATCCTGAGTAGCTGGGATTACAGGTGCCTGTCACCATGCCCAGCTAATTTTTGTACTTTTAGTAGAGACAGGATTTCACCATGTTGGCCAGGCTGGTCTCGAACTCCTGACCTCACGTGATCCACCCGCCTTGACCTCCCAAACTGCTGGGAATACAGGTATGAGCCACAGTGCCCGGCCCATGTAGCTATTTAAATTTGTCTAAAATTAAATAAAATTAGAAGTATCAGTTTCTCATTTGCACTTCAAGCATTCAATTACCCACAGGTGGCCACTGACCACAGAGGCTGGTAGAGAGACGCTGCAGTTCCACACCGCAGAAGGATCTATGGACAAAGTGGCTCTAAGATCATCTCGGCATCTTTATATTGAAGCTACTGAAGTTTTACTCTGTTTACTATAGATATCAACATTCTCCCATTTAAAAATGTCAGTGCTATTACAACAATCAGATCTGTGACCTCCCAGAAGCTCTTCTCCTCCTGGACAAATAACCGCAGAGCGTCTGCACTCTGCCTTCACACTAAGGGATGGCAGAAGCCTCCTGTAAAATCAGGTGGAGAAAAAAAAATGAATCCCTAGCCCCTCTCCCCCTACGATTTTGTGAAACTCCTCTTAATATTCAGAATAATTGCCAGAGTTGCAATAAACAAGCATCCCTTGACCAGGAAGCAACAGGGAAGCAAGAAGAGGGATGCTCCATTCCCTCTGGGACCCCAGGCCTGGCCGGGACTGAGAAGGTCAGCACAGCCAGTCAGGCCTGCACACCCGATGCGAACCGTGCACATGGCTTCCCCGGGCCTCGGTCTCCCCTCTGCCCTCACTGGACACTGTGGCTCTGGTACATACCTGATGCGAACTGTGCACACGGCTTCCCCGGGCCTCGATTTCCCCCTCTGCCCTCACTGGACACTGTGGCTCTGGTACATACCTGATGCAAACCATGCACACGGCTTCCCCGGGCCTCGGTCCTCCCTCTGCCCTCACTAGACACTGTGGCTCTGGTAGAGGCAGCCTCTGAGCTCCAACACCCACAGCCAGTCCCCTCCTTGCAGGTCTCGGCTCTGCTGACACTGCCTCAAGCGCCTCCCTGATGCTTCTCAACATCGTCCACGTACCATGCCCCCTCCTCCCCACAGCCCTGGCTGCCGCCCACCCCGCCATGGAGCCTGGCATACAGCAGGTGCCTGAGACACCCCAAGGGGCAGGCATGCCAGGGTAGGGCTTGGAGTTCCAAAGGCCACGTCCCGCTTACCACAGGTGCCACGGAGGCTGTGGAAGGGGTCCAGGCTGCAGGTCTGCACTCGGCTTCTCCTGGCCCCCGAGGCCAATAACCTAGCAAGGGAAAGCAGCTGGAAGCAGGATCCCAAAAGCCCTTCCTGGCTCAAGAGGAAGGAGGCCTCGGTGCACAAACCCACAAGTGCCTTCCCTCCTGCCAGGCTGGCTGTGTCACAGCAGCATGTCCATCTTCCCTGGGCTCAGAGAAAGGTGAGGGACTCAGCCCCGAGTGTGAACAGTCAAGCTCCCACTAGCTGTGCAGACAATCTCCCTAGCCCTGGCTTGGGAAGGGTCCAAGAGCAAACACAGCCATCTTGCCCACACAGGTACAGAATTCAGCCAGCTCTCTCAATGGAGTTGTGACAGGTCAACTCCAGGCTCCTCAGAGCCAGGCTCTGGGGTTCAACCTCGGGCCACTGCACCTTTGAAATGCGGCTGTGGACTCCCCTAGGCCGCTCAATGTCACGGCCCATTTCGTTCAGATGCTGCAGGCCCCTGCCGTGGTGTCACACCCAGGACACCCCTGCCAGCATCCTCTGAGACGCTGCTATAGCTGTTGTGATCTGAGAACAGCCACATGCAGGCATCAAAGGGAGGGCTTCTCAAGTCTCTTCTGAGAGTGGTGGCTACAGCTTCGGAAGACGTTGCACTGAATCCTGGGTGAGCCAGACTCAGTCTGCAATCTAAGCTGGGTTGCTGGAGAGACACACTCTGTTGTAACTGACGGAGGCTGTCGATGGCAGCTCTACCAAGACCAAGAATGGCAACTAATCTGAGATTTACTATCCATACTTTCTACCTGATGTTTAAAAGGAAAGCATCGTGAAGTTCCAGTAGCAAGACATTTTCTATAATCTATCATATCAAGATACAGCAGAGATGTAGCTAAAATGTTAATAGGGTCTATGCAGAGGAACAGATCGGTCTATTTCAGGAACGGTGCTTGCTGGCTTTTTAGAAACAGAGTGAAGTCCCTGCCAAGTAAAAGGTTGTTTATACTTTTGCTTTGGAAACAGAGAGGGAAATTTCTTCCTTATTATTCGAATACATTAACTATATTTAAGTGTTCTCATAGACTAAGTATTAAATATTCAAAAATAAGTAATTCTGTTCAGTCTATTTCATTCCTCAAATGTAGCTTTCAAAAAGTGACAAACACCTGGCCGGGTGCAGTGGTTCACGCCTGTAATCCCAGCACTTTGGGAGGCCGAGGCGGGCGGATCACGAGGTCAGGAGATCTAGACCATCCTGGCTAACACGGTGAAACCCCGTCTCTAGTAAAAATACAAAAAATTAGCCAGGTGTGGTGGTGGCACCTGTAATTCCAGCTACTCGGGAGGCTGAGGCAGGAGAACAGTGTGAACCGGGGAGGCGGAGCTTGCACTGAGCCAAAATCATGTCACTGCACTCCAGCCTGGGCGCCAGAGCAAGACTCCATCTCAAAAAAAAGTGACGAACACCCCATGTCTGCCCTGGCTCCCGCCATCTCCACGGAGTGGACAGAGCTTGGGAAAAGCTCATTGTGGAGGCCCAGAAGGCCGAGCCTTTGCTCAGCAGATGAGGGAGGGGATCAGCCACCCTAGGGAAGAAGCCAGTATTTCCTATTTTACTGAGGATATCCACATAAATTTCTATTTTGCCTCCCACACAGACCTGGGATCCATGTTTCACCAAGAGGCTCGTGCCAACAGACCCTCCATGCCACTGTTTTCCTGACCTCCCTAAGAAGAGCCAGGCCAGGCAGCATCCCCACATGGGCACTGGGGCCCAGGAAGAGCTGGGTCCTGCCCCTCTTCTCCCTCGTCCCTGCACCTGGCTTGCTGTGCAAGCCCAGCAGTGCTGGCTGAATTCATGTTCACCTGGGGCATTCAGAAAAAGCCTCTGCAGAAATCAGCTGGGAAGCAGGGCTGCGTGTGTGGCGCCTGGTCACTCAAGAAGGATTTGCAGAATTGAGTTTTCAACACAGGTGCCGCCACTAAGTCCCTCAAGCCCTTCGTGAGCCTAGAGCCACAGAGCCATTTGCTGCACTCCCACAATCTCTAACCACCCTGCACAGAAGCCCAGTTTATCCAAAGGACCATAAAATTTTGCGTGTAAACACTTGAAGTTTGGCATAATGAACTGAAAGTTAAGTCACCACTTCTATTTTCCATTAACCCAATCATTCAAACAAGTATCTCTTGAGTATGTGCATTGAATACTGTGGAATTAGGATTTAGTCCATGCCTTCAAGAAACATACATCATAGAAGAAAAGGTATATAGCTTGTAACTTTAAGAGTGGCGAACAAGCAAGAAATATACATCATAGGAGAAAAGGTATAGCTTGTAACTGTAACAGCGGCAAACAGGCAAGAAATATACCTCATAGGAGAAAAGGTATACCGCTTGTAACTGTAAGAGTGGCGAACAGGCAAGAAATATACCTCATAGGAAAAAACGTATACGCTTGTAACTAACAGTGAACAGGCAAGAAATATACCTCATAGAAAAAAGGTATACGCTTGTAACTGTAACAGTGGTGAACAGGCAAGAAATGATACCTCATAGAAAAAACGTATACGCTTGTAACTGTAAGAGTGGCGAACAGGCAAGAAATATACCTCATAGGAAAAAACGTACAGCTTGTAACTGTAAGAGTGGCGAACAGGCAAGAAATATACATCATAGGAGAAAAGGTATAGCTTGTAACTAACAGTGGCGAACAGGCAGGAAATATACATCTTAGGAGAAAAGGTACAGCTTGTAACTAAGAGTGGTGAACAAGCAAGAAATATACATCACAGGAGAAAAGGTATAGCTTGTAACTAACAGTGGCGAACAGGCAGGAAATATACATCATAGGAGAAAAAGTATATGCTTGTAACTGTAAGAGTGGTGAACAGGACAGAATTTCACAGGCTCATCAGAAGCAGCCAAGGAGGAAGCAGTGATTCATTTCCATCTGCAGTGGATAAATGTTTCCTGGAGAAAGTAACCTTTTCTACAGTGATATCTGATCCTTATTGTTTAGATCTTGCTTGATAAGGTATTAAATTACCACTTTCTATGTGCTGCTTATATAAAATACATCACTGTCAAGGGTGGTTATAAGTTATAAAATAACTTAAATACTTCACAAAACCTTGGGCTGTGAATGGTGCGAGGAAGTGGGACCATGTGTTCCCGTGTTCTTGAGACACAGAAGGGGCAAGACCCCGGTTCCCTTCTCCTCCCCACTGCCCTGTTCCCAGATGAGGGGCAGAGGCAAGGCTGCCGTGGAGTCCTAGAACTGGCTCCAGGGCCAGGACACCGCGCACAGATTCTGCACCCCATGTGAGAAATACAGCCTGGGGAGCAATCACCGAGTTGCCTGGCAGTGGGGAGTGAGTCCTTCATCAAAAGGCATCAGGAAAACTTCCAGGTGCTCCTGAAACCTGGGCACAGAGTCACAGCCTGGCAGGAAGCACCAGTGATGCAGGTGTGCCCGAGACAGAGGATAGACAGACACTTGGAGGCCAGACTGGCCTGCAGGAGATGACCACTTCTCTCTGGTTCGTCAGAGACAGAGTCTGGGCTTCACTTTTGTATATGGAGTCTCACAGTACAGAAATATCACAAAGGGATTAGACTTCATATACTGACCCCAAGTAATTTTTTCATTTAAAAAAAATCATGTTTATCACAACTAATTCTAATTCCAACAAAGAAAAATAAGTGTAAAAATGCATGCCTATAAAATGTAAACCACAATCTCTTTACCCATATGAGACCCAAAATTTAGTTTATGTTTTCTTCAGTATTATTTTTTTTTTTTCCCAAGCCATTACTGAGGTCTCTCCTCACTGCCCCATGAGGAGGTTCACGGGCTCTTCTGGGCTCTTTGCTGTTTTATTGTTTTTCAGTTTTAAGGGCAGGATCATTTTCCCACACGTTTGCTTCCTTCATCACCAATTTTTCATAAGGACAACATCGTGCGTCGGAAAACCTAATAACCGAACTTCATTAACGGTGAAAGAGTAAGGACACGCTGGCTACTATGACAGAGCATCCTCAGTCGCCGAATCTCCCTGGGTGACCAGGCACACCCCCAATCTCCTTGGAACCCCAGCATGCGGGTATCTCTGTGGCTGACAGGACTGGCCCACCCTGGGGGAGGCATGAAAGCAAACAGAAGAGAAGGCAGGTGACTCATATTTAGGAAACTCAGGTGATCCTGTTGAGCCGTGTCTCTCAGGGTATCTGGGGACCAGCCACGTGAGGGGAACCTCCTGGCCTGGCAGGTGGCAGACTCCTGGGACCCACCTCAGATGCGTTAATCAGAGAATCTAAAGGCAGGCAAACTATGAAAAGAATCTATAGAGGAAGGACTAGCTCTGCTGTAAGCCCACTACACGCAAGGTCACGCAGGATGCCACTCTCAAGCCACACGGCGTCCAGTCTCCGTTCCACCCCCACGGGAGGAACACCCATCTTCAAGTCACAGAACACGGTCTTCAGCGAACACCCTTCCTGCATGACCTCCACTGTTGCCCGGCCCTGCAGCAGCAGCCGCTGAGTAGGGGAAACAAGCCTTTGCTCCTGACCCTGCCCCCAACACACCTCAAATTCTCAAGGAAATCCTGTTACAGTCCAGTCGCAGCAGACTCCCTCACAGCACCCACCTCTCCCACAATCGGATCCCAGGACAGCACCCACCCACCCCCCCTTCCATAGCCGGATCCCCGGACAGCAACCACCCACCCCCTTCCACAGCCGGATCCGAGGACGGCACCCACCCCTCCCACAGCCGGATCCCAGGACAGCACCCACCCACCCCTCCCACAGCCGGATCCCAGGACGGCACCCACCCACCCCTCCCACAGCCGGATCCCAGGACGGCACCCACCCCTCCCACAGCCGGATCCCAGGACGGCACCCACCCACCCCCTCCCACAGCCGGATCCCAGGACGGCACCCACCCACCCCTCCCACAGCCGGATCCCAGGCTTGTCCTGGGCCCCGCTGCGCACACCACCATCTCTGACACTCGGACCTCAGAGTGTCATCACGCAGCCACCCACACCTTCCCAAGAGGGGGATCCACACGCCCTGGCAGCGGCCACCTGACTCTACCAGGACATTTTGGAGGTTCCTCAGCAAACTCAACAGCCTTAGACTGAACACAGCTCCTCCCTCACAGACCCAGTCACTCCAACGTGTCACCATCTGCTATAGACACATGAAACAAACCCCTTTCCCTCCACAATGTTGCCACCCTGCCCACTGGGGCCTGGCCCTGCATCCTGTCCACACTTCCATTTCAGGATATTCTGCTGGAATCAACAGCCCCAGACTCACCCCCAACACCTACCACATTGAAAACAACGTTTTTTCTTGATGCATCAAGCGAAAGACAGAAAACCACCCTAAACAAGTGTGTGCCTTGAGTCACAGAGAGGAACATGCTGTGAGCCCCGACCCTGGAAGGGATCTGTGCACCTGAGTCCTTCGTAGCCCTGTCCTGACCTTCACAGCCCATCAAACCTACATGCACTCTCTCCTCTCTCTCTCCAGCTCACAGCCAGATTCTGCCATTTTCCTCAGCTTTAAGACAACAGCCAGGGCTTCTCAGATGGCCCAGGAGCCAGCCCTCGATGGTCCCACACGGCTGTGTGCTCCCTCCTGCAGAGCTCAAAGCTGGTCAGTGTGGCCCACGGGACACGGCCAGGAGACCGGCCACCTTGACACTGGGCGTAAGACCAGCACTCCTATGTCTCTGCAGAAAGGAGCAGCCCTGGGCAGGGATGTGCCTGGCAGCCCCACAGAGGGACCGGTGTGGAGGACCAGGCCTCCGCCAGCAGACACGTCAGCACAGCATCCTGGAGCAGAACCTCCAGCCCAGCTGAACCTACAGATAGCCACAGCCCTGGACAGAATCTTCACCGTGACTCAGGGGGACAGGGCCAGAACCACTCAGCAGAGCTGCCCTAAATTTGCAACCTGTAGAAGCTGTACAGTCATACGTGTGTGTTGCCTTAAGCCACTAGGTTTTGGAGTCACTTGTCACACAGCAACAGACAGTGGATGCAGACAGGCTCCCAGGCCATGATGGCCTCTGCTGGCCTCACCTGGGCTGTCTCATCTGTTCCCACGACATCACGTTTCTCAAAGCCAAAGGCTGCCAGGACCCCCTTTTCTTCACAAAGTCGTTACAAGCTCACAATACCAAGTGAAAAACAACAATCTGTAAAATGCAACATATGACCCAATACAGGGTGGTGAGTGCACAGGCACATACACATGTGGGGGTGGGGGTGGGGGTGGGGGTGGGGGCGGGGGAGGGGATGGGCAGGGCAGGGGAGGGGAAGGGGGAGAGGATGGGTGGGAAGGGGGAGGGGGAGGATGGGCGGGGAGGGGGCGGGGGCAGGGGCAGGCAGGCAGGCAGGGGGAGGGGGCAGGAAGGCAGGCAGGCAGGCAGGAAGGGGGAGGGGGCAGGGGCAGGCAGGCAGGCAGGGGGAGGGGGCAGGGGCAGGCGGGGAAGGGGGCGGGGAAGGGGGAAACCCCAGAGGGCGAAACCCTGGAGGGCTGGAGGCAGGAGGGATGCTCCCTGGCAACCTCACAGGGTGCCGTCACATGACAGGGCGGACACATGACAGAATTATAATAAAATGCTTAAGAAGAGTAAGCAACAGCATCTTCAGATTAGGGTAGTGTCCTGGTTTCACGCTTGCCTCATATGACATTCTATAAATTGGAAAGATAACGCATTGTCTTACCAGCCACGCTGTTCCCCAAATACTAACTATGATAAAGACTAGACAGCATCTGAGTACTGAGCATGCGTCAAGCCCAGTGAGGTAGGAATCCTTACTTTGCTAGAGAAAGAAACAGGTTCTGAGAGAACCTTCCTGAGGCCACACAGCTGTCTCCAAACCCACCTCCCGCTTCCTGACCCTGAACCAGGATGGGAGGACTCGAGTCATGTGTGTGAATAATTTACCTGGATGCATCTCACGGATTGAGATTCGACCCCCAGACCTAATCATCTCTATTCAGAAATGCGTAAAGGAAGGTGCAGTTGTATCACCACGAGCTGGGGGAACAAAGGCAGGCACCCTCGATGTAGATACGGGGGGTGGAGGCGGGCGCCCAGCGCAGGGGGACAGGAGCACGTCCAGCCCAGCCCAGTCACACAACCACCCTGCCATGCCAGTGCGGGGGCCCACCATCGCGTCTCGGGGAAAGGCAGCTTCTCCTGCACAGGAATCTAAGCCTGAAAGTGTGTTTCTGAGAAGGTGTGGACCAACATCTCGGAAATCAGACACTGTAACATGCTTATCTATACAGGCCGCCTATGTCAGGGAATCACCAATAATTCCCATCTCGCCATCAATTATTTCTGGTAAATATTGATTATTTTAAGTTAACAGAGGCAACACAGGAACAAAATAATGGCAATGTCAGTGAATCTGCTCTCCCACTGAAGAGCTGGGGCTAATGATGAAATAGAAGGAGACTTGGAGAACACAGCAGGACCCCAGACACCACGGACCACCCGACCCCTCCCCCACCGACAGCCCAACCCCTCCCCCGGCAGACCACCCCACCCCCTCCACAGGTGAGTTAGGTCGTGGGGCCAAGGAGTGGTTTCCAAGGAATCTCAGAGGTTTTCAAGGTCTTGCAAGTTTAACGGGAGTTGAATATTTGCATCTGAGTCACACAAGCACATTAAAAGTAAAATTTCTCCTTTCCACTAGAATTATGAGCTTGGGGCAGCAGCACTGGCTGTATCTCATATGCTCATGAGACCCTTTGGAGGCAGCTGTACATCTCAGGTGAATCACTTTAATAATGAGAGAAGTGCTTGGGCCCTCGATCCGGGACCACAGACCCCACGACGAGGGTCTAACCAGGACAAGCCTCGGCCTGGAACAGCTGGTGTCCATGGGGGCGGTGGGGAACGCCGGGGGAACGCCGGGGGAAGCCCCACACAAGCTCGGTGTGTCCTACCCCACACACAGTCGGCATCAGCCACAGGGGTCTTTTGTTGTTTTTGTTGAGGAAGGAACATATTTAAAAGCCCAGGGCCTGGACTCCTCAAAGCTCCCCACAGACCTGGGTTAATCGGCACCTTCCCTCATGTTAAAATCAACAACTATATATGGCTGCTGACAGCACCTCAGAGCAGATGCAACACTGGGCTTTCTTGGTGTCTGGAGAAAGCAGGAATTCCAGGTCTCTGCCTTCCTACCTCCCCAAAGGCTCTGGCCCAGATGAGCTCAGGTTCTTCCAGGTAAGGAGTACAGACCAGCTACCCACATGCCCCTCAGGGTCACACAGCAGCTGTGCAGACTCTTGCACCATGCACAAGCCCTCACAACCCACCCCAGAGGAGGAAGCCCAGCCCCGGAGCCCCATGGCCCCGGCCTGGCAGGAGGCCACTGCTGGGGCCCCTGCTCAGGGTTCAGCACAGCACGGTCCAGCCACACCGGGTGAGACATCCACCCACCTGGCCATTCGTCTTTAACCTAAAACAGACACAGGAATTCAGGGAGGTGTTCCTTCCCCTTGATGAACTCATTGCTCCGGTTCTCACCTCTCCCCCCCACTCCTGTTCTCCTCTCCCCCCGATCCAGTTCTCACCTCTCTCCCCACCCCCTCCGGTTCTCACCTCTCCCTCCTGCCCTGTCACAGACACCCAGCACTGCGCCCAAGGCCTGACTCCCAGTTTCACAGGGAAACCAAGACAATCATGATTTTAGAAACTGGGAGCTAGGTGTAAAATGAGTCAATAAAGCCAGTGTCCACTGATCATCCCTCCACGCACAGCAGAGAGCAGTCCTCGGGATAAAACCCACAGGGGTGGAGAAGACACGCGATCAAGGTGGACAGGATGGAGGAGTCACAAAGAGGGGAGGTTCGGAGAATGAGGCCATGTGAACACAAAGCTAAAGTGCTCAGCGGCTGGAAGACAAAAGCTGCACAACACAAGAGACAAGCTAAACACAACCATTTAAAAAAAAAAAGAAAAAAGTGTCACTGTTAAGTAGGAGTCCATCAGGATTTAAGTTCTCGAGTCACTTAATGTATCAGCACACAGACTTCTCATAATGCCTGAAACTCGCGGCAGTGAACACGTGAATCAGTTCTCCCAAGTCCATTGTTTTGATAGGCCTCTTGATTCTCAGGCTGGTTTCAAAGTAAGCTTTCTGTTTGCTGATAACTTAATAATTAACATACTTGAAAACACATTGACTTTCAAATTAATCTGCTAATAAAATATTAATTACCACACGGGCTATCATCCACAGAAACAACGTAATCACTTTCTGGTTGTAAAAGCATTAAAATTCTAGGCCCCCCTGGCCATCTCAACAGCCCCTACTCTTGGCAAGGGCATTCCAAAGCTAACCTGAAAAACTAGTCCAGGCCATGATCGGTGGGGGGTGGGACTTGCCTTATCACCCCGCCTCCCTTCTGGAATTAGACAGAACTTAGACTCTTAGCCTGACGGGAAACATTCACAATCTATTCTCTTCAAAGCTACCTGGAGGCATCCCTCCACATGACAAAGCCTTGGTCTCCACACAACCCCTTAATCGTACAACTCTCTCAACCAACTGTCAATCAGGAAATTTTTGAATCTACCTATGACCTGGACACCCCTGCTTCCAGTTGTCCCCGCGTTTCCAGATCAAACCAATGTACATCTTACATTTATTTGATTGATGTCTCATGTCTCCCTAAAAGGTACAAAACCAGGCTGTGCTCTGACCACCTTGGGAATAGGTTCTTAGTATCTCCTGAGGGCTGTATCGTGGGCCATGGTAACTCATTTGGCTCACAATAAATCTCTTTAAATACCTTACAGAGTTTGATTCTCTTTGCTGACATGGTACCTTTCATGTGTATTTATTTTGGGGCAGGTTAAAGGGGACTCACAATGGATTGGAGGCAGCAATTGCCCACTGTACGAGAAGTCTCTGCAGACTGAGAGCCACTGGCATGGGGACTCCAACCCCTGAAGCAGCAGCTCTCCCATGTCCCAAGGCCTGAGAGACCTGCACCTCCAGGGCCTCTCATTTGAGAGTCTCAGCAACAACGCAACCAAACGTGATCAACATCACAGAATGTTCCTCAAGGCTTTTGGCTGTTGCTTCTCCCCAAGTTTACTCCTCTAAAACCACAATGGGAACAGTCGGAACAGGATGGTTCTCAGCCACTGACCCTCCTGGTAACGCACTGTCTCCAAGGCCCTTTCCCGCCAGTCACAGCTTCCTTCAAGTCAGGCTTGAAGGCCACCTCCCCAGGAAGGAAACCTCTTCAATCCAGCAACACAACTCCTGGTCCCGTCTAGAGCTTGTCTGCCAGGAAGGGAAGACTCCTCATTCCAGAGAGAGCAGGTGCCACAAAACTCAGTGTTTTCGCCATTGTGAAGGCAAATACTCATGAAATTAATACACTTTTTCCTCCTTAGATACTGACAATTCCTCTTCTGGAGGTCAGCCAAGGCCATCTGCACGAGTCACGCGTGACAGCTCTAGCCCCACCTTCGGTGTCAGCAGTGCGGCTCCGCTGAGACCCTCCTGCACCAGCCGGGCCGTGCACCTGTTCCTACAACTGCTGTCACCAGACTATAGTGATTCTAAAATAATCAGCAAGCGGACGTTCCGAAGGATGCATTTTAAAGAAAAATGTGTAAGCTTTACTGCATGAAATCAGCTACATCTTTTGCTACTCCAAAGGCTTTTTGTTTTGCCTTCTCAAGGTTCTCCACAATGATCCTGACAGTTAAGGTTCCCAGTTACAGGCAGAGGGTTGGGCAGGCCGCATCTGATGTTTAACACACACAGAGGATCCACGTCAAAGGATTTTCCCTGTTCACCAACATCATCAGGACAAACTTTAAGCAGCAATAATTTCCCTGTCTGGAAAATTGAGCTCACTTGAGCACTAATGCAACAAATGTGTTTGACAAAGTTACAGGTGGACCTTCTAGTGAATGAATCACTATTTCAAGGAGGATAATGGCTCACTATTCAAAGGCATGTTTTTGTCAGTTTTTATAATTTCAGTCTCCTTCATTTGAATCATGAAGTGAGACTTGTACCTGATACATTACAGAATCTCTACGAAATAGACGAAATTCCAATTCTGTACATTCACTCTCATTCTTTTCCATATGCACACGGATGGTCGTAATTTAAGTTGGCATTCCAACAGGATTTCTAAATTAAAATTTCTACTTTAAACATTACGTGTTAAACATTAAACATTCCATTGCTAAACATTTATAACAGGGTCTGCATGGCCAGTTTTAAAGATTTCTTCCTCACTGAAAACAAGTGTTCTGTTCCCTCAGAGAGCTTTTCATATATTTAACCAATAAATGGTCTACTCTAAAATATTCTAGAGACAGATACATTTGGAGAGGACACACTCAACACAGAAATCCATAACATCAAACAACAGTGCACAACCAGCAGTGACAGTGGAAGAGCTGCCATGTGAGTGCCCCTAAAAATACACACAAGCCTGGCTGCTTAAAAGGAATGAATATAGCTAAATACTCTTCTGTGAACATTGACGTGTGCAACCTTATAAAGTCTACTGCCTTGCAGAATCCTCCTAGCTGAGCAGCAGTAATCTTCCTTGAAGGCTTTTCTCACCTACACTGCCTACAAGTGCTCTCTGGGCAGTATTGTGTCTTTGTTTAGAATATCACAGTATCTGGAGGCCTGTAATCTGAAGTCAGGGCCTTATCATAAATCAGACACCATCCCCCTCAGGGCTAGTGGGCCAACTTCGACTAATGCAGACTGTTCCACAGTGCCCTGCAGGCGGGCTTGGTGCATCCATACGATTTTAAGGCTTGGGGCTGCCATTTTCTGCAGTCACAGATGCAGACTTACATATTCATAATGACTGAAAGCAGCACGTATTTTTATGTTCCTTCCGTAATGGTGGTAATAATAATGGCAATATTTCCCCGATCCTTTAAAAAACCTCCTAACAGCAGTTGTATTCCACCCCCTTCCTTAAAATTAGTAGAATTTACCAAACTAGGTGAAATGAGTCTTCATGAGAAAGTGACAAATCAGTATTCATGCAATGGCATAGTAGCTAGGCATACAGTGTACGTCAACATCCCAAACTAAGCACCCATCACAGTATTTCCAACTCGCAGGAAAGCTAGAAAAATCAGAAGGCTTAAAATATAATTATAGCAGAATTTCACAACAATGAAAATGAAAAAGAAACCAAAGTTTCTGAGGAGCATTTGTTAGCAAAGCAAGGAAAGCCATTAACCAGTGCTGATTACATTGCATTTGATTACAGCAGCCAAAGATGCGTCCAGAGGAAGAGAGACTTTTAAAGATTATTAGTCTTTCGGTGAGAATGGTTGCTTAACAAGTTCAGACTACTGGGCTATACCAATAGTCAAGAACAAGTTCAGACTACTGGGCTATACCAATAGTCAATTAAGAAGCAAGGCAAATGAGTGTGAGTCATTTTCCTTAGTTCTTAATGTGTCAAAAATCCCAACACTGCTGAGGTCGCTCATTCAGGGAATCGATGCTGAATTTGAAGAAACTGAAGAATTAAAGTCTGTGAATAATCTGAATGGATCAATTATTTGAGAGAAGATTTCAAAGCTGAGAAAACACTAATTCTACAGAACCTGAAGTGGAATCTGCTAAGATGTGTCATAACTAATCAGGTAAAAAATATGGAACAGAAAAAGACTTAGGGGAGCAAATTCTCAGACCCTGTGAGAATATAAAGTGTCTGAGTCCATGGTGGTCCTCTCATTACTCACTAGCAGGCCCTCGGGGGAGAACGTTCCCCCCACCCCCGCACGTGGTTGAGGCAGCAGCGTCTGGGTGAACGTCACTGGCTCTCTTGGACATAACCATCCTCATCTCCTTGATCTCTCCAGCCCACAGCTCCATCTCCTCAACCACAGATCACCCTCCCCACACCCCAGCCTGGACGTCACCTTGGGGCAGCCTCACTCACTCCCCTTCTCACCCACAGGCCTTCACTGCCTGACGTCCAAAGCCTTAAGAACCATTGTTCCACATATTTTCTCCAGGGACAGGGGCAAGTCTAGTACCTGTTATTCCATCTTGGCCAGTAGCTGAGGGCCAAGCGCAGCAGAGCTAAGGGTGTCCACACAGAAGCTGAGCACTGTGTTCTGATCCCAGGTCTGCCGCTGGACTCTGTGGCATTTTGCCTGTCTCCTTTTGACCTCTGTTTCCTCATCTCTAACATGAGGTAAAAGAAGTTCCCTCCTTAGCGGATTTCTGTGAGGACTCAATGAGCCAATATGCCCGAAGCATTCAGCATAGCGTCCAGCAGACACCAGGCACTGCACAGAACTCAGCCTACTCGGCCGAACACACCAGCCACCTCCACCCAGTGCTCTTCCCATCTCAGAAAAAAACACATAACACGTGAGCAGAAACTGGAAAACAACAAATATGTTCCCAACCTGACTTCCTAGAAGACTCACACACACAGTAGAAATCTTTCTTCTCTGTGTTTGTCAATCACCTTTACAATAAATCCAAGCAAAACCACATTAGAACTCAGTGAGTTTAACATCTACTGGAAACCTGGTGAAGATGAAGAGTAAACACTTTTCTGGTCCCCTTTGCTACCAGCAATTTCCCTTCCTCTATTCAATGGCAAACCAGGTGCTGTAGGAGAGGGCGGTTCCATCACTCCCCTAATTGGTTAGGAAGCTTTCCATGGAGCCTGGACCACCCCTAGTCAGTATCAGGGCCTCGAGTGAGCACAGGCAAGAGAACACGTCCATTCCATCAATAGACTAAGCGTGAATGTCCTCTCTGTACAAAGCATCATGCTGGCATTTGTACATACACAGCATTTAAGAACCTTAAGAGTACCGCCCTTCCACAAGTTTAAATTCAGCTGAGGAAACCATGTGACTCCTAAAAATATGAAACAGTACCTGCATTCTAAAAAAAAAAAAAAAAAGACCTAGACAAACACACACAACCCCATAATGCAGAGTCAAACTTTCAAAACCACACATCTCACATGCAGTGAAACTGTCAGCAACTACAGTCAGCCCAGAAGATCCCTTTTTCCATCTTAGCTCTTTTTAAACAAGGCATATGATGAACAATCAGTTTTTCCAATCGTAAGAGAGGCATTTTCCACAGACTACTAACCCAACTTCACCTAGAATTTAAAACCATGGAATTCACACATGCTAAAGGAATAAGGATGTAAAATGGTGTGTTTCCCGTTTGCTACATGTAAGCTTCATTTTTAAAGGTATATCATCAAATGCACTTAAATTTCAAACTCCTGCAGTTGCCCAAAACCCAAGCATAAAAATATGTGCTTACAGTCGCGTAACGGAGTCGAGCGCAGCAAGGAGACTAAAGCAGGAGTTACCCTCTCAGGCTGGCGCCCTTCTCCGAGGTATGTAACAGCCTAATAACTGAGTCCAAGGGTGGAAGGAAACCACTGACCAGCACTTCACACGTTGGGAAGCAGGCAGGGCCATGTGGGCTCCCGGCTTTGATTTGCTGTTTCAGATCCACGTCACCCACTCTCCTGCTGGAGGCAGCACCTTGGACTCCTGCAAAGGCCGGCATTCAGACACTGTCAGAACCCTGACAGAGAGGGGCGGATTCCAAACTCACCAGAAAAAACAAAACAAAAAAACCACGTATCTCAACACTGGGACATGCTCTAAGAATAGAAACTTCTAAAATCAATGCCTTATTTTAGGACTTTAGTAGTTTACATTTTAGAGTGTCTGAAGAAACAATTTTTTGCCCCTTTTTAAACTGTAATCGTAGTTACCATTAAGAGTGTCTGAAGAAACAATTTTTTGCCCCTTTTTAAACTGTAATCGTAGTTACCATTTATTAAAAGCCTGGCCAGGAATCTTACCAACATACTTTTTCACGTGACCCTCGCGGGGTAACCGCACCAGGCCTTCCTCAGAAGCAGTGTTGCTGCTGCCGGTTCACCTGGTGCATGAGCCGCTGACCCACCAGAGGCGCCACCAAACCCTGGAGTGTTACAGTTGCCTTTCCTCTCGAGTAGCACACCACAAACAGCACAGACACACCGCACACTGATATTTTTACAGTTCAGTTAGACTTTGACACTTACACGTTCAGATAGCAACACAGATGCTGCTGCTGAGGAGACAGGTGTCAGCACCTTTTCCTGCCCTCTCCAGAGGCGAGGGCCCATGAGCCCCAGCACACAGAAGCCCAGGCTTTCTTCATAGCAACCCCTGGCCAAGATTTCTTGGGTCTCTCGCCATGGAGGCGGTGTTCTCAAAGACAACAACGGTGCCTCTGAGGGTCCCAAGCAGGGTACAGCCGTGGCCCACGACTGCTCAAAGTCAGGCCCATCGGACAGACAGCCTGGCTCACAGGCACCATGCGGAGCAGCGTCTATGGCTGCTGTGATGCACAGCTAGCGTGCCACAGAGACATCTCATCCACAGCACGTACTGCCTCTGAACCAAGGCTTGGATGAGAGAAATCCCATTCCATACACCATCAAATGCTGAGGGAGCCATCTCAGAACTGATGTTCCGGTGGCTCAAATCTCTTTGAGATGAACTGACCTATTCAGAAAGGGAAAAATAATTCTTTGTAATTGGAAAGAAGCTAAACGTTAAGACTCAACTTGGTTGCACAAAACCCAGATCAGCATCATCTGAGAATCTGGAATTACACGTATCCAGGGCCCATCTCAGAGCTGCCAAATCAAATCCAACTCCGGCGGAAGGAGGACAGGCACCGGTTTTGGGGGGTTTTTTGTTTTGTTTTGTTTTTTTTAAGACACAATATCACTCTGTCGCCCAGACCAGAGTGCAGTGGTGCAATCTCAGCTCACTGCAACCTCTACCTCCCAGATTCAAGCAATTCTCCTGCTTCAGCCTCCTGAATAGCTGGGATTACAACAGGTGCATGCCACCACACCCAGCTAATTTTTTTATTCTTAGTAGAGATGGGGTTTTACCATGTTGGTCAGGCTGGTCTCGAACTCCTGACCTCGTGATCCACCCACCTCAGCCTCCCAAAGACAGGCATCTGTTTTAACAGCCACCCCTGCTCCCAGCCACAACACAACTGAAAGTTAGCAGATAATTAACTGGGCTGTTGATTCTCTTAATCAGAAAAGACTTCCTAAATCATCTGAATATTTCTGCCAAACAAACATTCTCTCCTCTGCTTACAAGCCGTGAGCACCAGTCAGCATGACATAGAAAAGTTTGGTTTTGTTTTTCTGTGACAGTCTCGCTGTTGTCCAGGCTGGAATGCAGTGGTGTGATCTCTGCTCACTGCAGCCTCCGCCTCCCAGGATCAAGGGATCCTCCTGCCTCAGCCTCCAGAGTAGCTGGGACTATAGGTGTACACCACCTCACCCTGCTGATTTTTAGTTGAGACAGGGTCTCACCATTTTGGCCAAGCTGGTCTCGAACTCCTGACCTCCGGTGATCCACCCACCCCAGCTCCCCAAAGCACTGGGATTATAGGTGTGAGCAATCGCGCCTGGCCGAGAAGTGTTTGATAGAGGCTGAGGGGAGGCTCCCATCCCATCCCAGGACATCCACGTCCCACCGAGCTTCCCACACCGACTACAACACTCGAAGCATCACAGCAAGGGCAGCTGCATCCCCGCAGTTCTCTGCACTAATGCCACAGCTGCGTGAGCTGTCACAGCCCTGGAGCTCCACTCAGCCTTGTTGTGTTGGCACAAGCACAGCAGAAACCACCAAGCCCCCAAAAGGGAGGAGTGCGGCCCAGGGACTGAACCAGGAGGCTCCAGGGGTAGCGAGTTCACACACCTCAAACACCTCTCACATCAATCCCCGTGCAGGGAGGGGATGGAAGCCACACAGGACCTGCAGTGCTTTCTCCTTGCAAATGAGGAGTGAAGATACCGACTCATGCGTGAAATCAGAGCTAGAGTTCTACCGTGGGGTGAGACGCTGTTCAACAAGTTTCATAGACCCAAATGAGAGCAAAAAGAAACGAATCATCCAAGATCAGTAGAAGGAAAGGGATCAGAAATTTAAGCCTGTAACAAGCTTTCGGAAAAAACTTCACTTGAGGCCGGGCGCGGTGGCTCACGCCTGTAATCCCAGCACTTTGGGAGGCCGAGACGGGCGGATCATGAGGTCAGGAGATCGAGACCATCCTGGCTGACACGGTGAAACCCCGTCTCTACTAAAAATACAAAAATTAGCCAGGCATGGTGGCACGCGCCTGTAGTCCCAGCTACTCGGGAGGCTGAGGCAGGAGAATGGCGTGAACCCGGGAGGCGGAGCTTGCAGTGAGTCGAGATCGCGCCACTGCGCTCCAGCCTGGGCGACAGAGGGAAACTCCGTCTCAAAAAAAAAAAAAAAAAAAAAAAAAAAAAAAAACCTTCACTTGATCTGCAAGATGGCTGTGGCTCTGCCTGATCGTTTCTGCAAATGTCTACCTGCAATGAGCCATCTCAGAGCCGTTCAAGAGTAACAAAATCAAAAATGCCAAGGCACGCTCCGTATTTTAGATGGCCTGCAACAAGGAGGAAATGAACAGCTGTGCCAGAGCTTTCAAAGTTTGTTTGAAGTAAATTCCAGCATGAGGGCAGCGGCTTCCTGGCTGAACCAATGAAGTGGGCTCCTGCTCACTGCATGGGAGATCAGCTTTCAGGTAAGGTGCGGTCAAGGGTCTGCAAACCACAATCCCCGAGCCTTGGCCAGGGAACCAGAAGTGATTTTTACACTTCAAAGTTTTAACAAAAGAAAAAGAATATGCAGAGACTTCCGTGGCCCACAAGGCATAACACATTGCCTACCCTGCCCTTTACAGAAGCTTCTAGCTTTGCTGTCAGCTACAAAGTGTTTCTATAAAATAATGTCATTGATTCTCAAGCATGCCAGGAAAAGTCACACTTTTGAACAACCCTCAATGGAGATGCACCATCCTGTGTTTAACACAGATTTGAGTTTTGTAAAAGCCAAAACAAGGGAGGCAATTCAGCTAAGTATTATAGTAATACAATTTGAGATACATAATGATGTGTGACAACAGAATAACGAATTGGCATTCCCGTGAGAAAATGAACTAGCTCAAACTCAAACGCAAAATAACAAACCAAAGCATGTGTGGCCTCTTAAAGTGATCAGTGAAATTGGGAATAACATTCGGTTAAATGATACTCATTTGTTTTATATTCTTTTTTAAAAAAAAGCAAAAACAAAACAAATACCACTACACCATCACTCCTTAAATTTATTTAACTACTGCTGCAAAATAAAATGGAGAGACTTCTTACTGCAGGGTAATAATCAGCCATCGTCACCATGAAATAGACGGCTGTGCAGGCTCAGGCCCTCCTACCCACAAAGGCAGGGGTAGGGAGGAGAGAGGATGGCCACAAGGACATGGCAACCATGACCTAGTCAGCAATTCTACCCTCGCACACCTTTCCTCCTGACTTAAAATTTTGAAGCCATCTGGGTTTACCTTCCTATGTCCATAAGTCAGCAAGTTCTGGAAGCCAGAAATCTACAGTGCTTCTGGCAGCCAAGTCCTCTCAGCCTTCCCCCATGTTTTAGGGTCCTATCAGCTCACCCCTGGATAGTATCAATGGCCTCAGAGCTCCAGCCAACCTTGCACTCCACAGACTGAAGTATGCCAAGAGCCACTCAAGGCTGCCACTGCCACGACCAAAGGCTTTCAGAGATAGTCATAGCACTGCACAAATCCATGTGGCTTCATCAGGCACAAAGCAGCTCCAGCATTCCATCCAGCCTGTCATTGCCACCATAGCTGTGAGTCTATGACGTGTCAGGAAGGGAAGGAAGACACTATGTAGATCATCTCATTTAAACTTCACAGTGTCACAAGGTGGATTTTGTCGTGCCCATTTTATGGATCAGGAAACAGTTTTAAAGAGGCCAAGCACAGGGCCCTGCTGACACAGGAGCAAGCCCCACAAAGGCCTGGGCATGACCCCCAACCCCACACTCCCTAGGTCCTGACGTCCACTCCTCCCCTGTGGGAGACTGATCCTGGGTCTGCATGAATTGCTACCATTCCTAAGACATGACCCACATCTCTCCACCTCCTCCTTTACCAGTTTCCCGCAGCCCAGAGGCCTGCGCTCTTCCATCCAGCCAGACATCACACTTCAGTACCTGCACCCAACACTACTTCAGCCAAAAGCTTCTCTCAAACCTCCCCTACCACCCGACCTGCCAGTCACACAGGTCTGCACCTATCGCCTTTCTCACACAAATTCTCACGTATTCCTGTGTAGCACCATCCAACTGATTAAAGTCTGTTGAGAGGAGGAAGCTTTGTAGATAAGTCCACAACCTACTTTGCTCCCAGCACACTACCTTGCATGAGGCAACCGATTAACAGCAAATTCATTTCAGCACAACATTTCCATTTGAAGAAACGCAGAGCATGGAGCTCTGGTAATAATTAAAAGCGTGTTTCATTCATCATTTGAAATTCCATGTACTGCTGCAACAGCAGCATCCCCCTCCTCGCCAGGCTCTGCTCAACAGACGTTATTCTTCCAGCGCACGACTCCCACCGGAGCCCCGGCAGCAAGAGCCCCGCAGGCTTCCCAGCGCCCTGGGCTGCGGCTTCCACGCTGGACCGGCACTGGCCTAACGACACGAGAGTGGTGCCCCCACAATTACAGGATCTGAAGCTGGCCGACTGCTCTGTAGAATGGAGACATGTGAGGAATCCCTGACATTTCCAATGACAGGCCGCTCAGCTAAACCGGGAAAAATCCACAAAACAGAAAGAACCCACAGGGAGAAGCACTTCTCTCTCCAACCTGACAGCAAACAGTGGCTGTGCGGACGACCTCTTCGGGATAACGTCGACCACATCTCAGGTCAGCAACAGCCCCACTGAGGGCCAATCAGCTCCCCCCGGCCATCACACTTCCTAAGGGTCAGCCCTGCCAGGCCGCCTCTCCTGGAAAATCAGCTGTGACGCACCCGCGAGGGTCGGGAACCGGCTCCGGGGCTCATTTCCCAGGCTCCTGCCCACTGCCCTCTCTCTTCCTCTCCTCCTGCATCCCCCCTCCTTCACTCCCATTCTCCCTCCCCCTTTCACTTCCCTTCTTTCCTTTCCTCTCCCTCCCTCATCTCCTTTCAGCCCTCACCTTCCTCACTGCACTTCCCCATCCAACTCAGCTGACACATTCTCAGTCAGGTCAGTAGAGGGTTTTCTTTCACTCTGTTTTTATTGCAATGATTATTCTTAATGAACAGAAACGTGTTTTGGACCATCTGGATGCCACCTCATGACCAGCTGCTGCCCCGTGGGCTCCGTGTCCACTCAGTGTCCTCACGGCGCTGGTGCCCAGCAGTATGGCTGTGACCAGGGGTAGCAACATGGGACATGGGAGAGGTATCCCAGCCAAGAGGCCCTGCAAAGCTTCCCCAGCAAACCAGAGCAAGGCCCAGGGCAGTAGGGAGAGCACCGTGCTCATAATGTAAGCAGTTCAGCTTCCAAAAACTGTCCATCAACTGCGAATTATTTTGTATCCATGGTTACAAAAGAACCATAAGCATTCCGAAATATGTTCTTGGTTTCATGTTTGCGAAATCTAAGCAACATTATAATAAAAAATCACTGAATTCTGCCCGAGGCTCTAGGGGTGTTTTCCTCTCTGAAAGGAGACCCTTCTCGGGATTGAGTGACAGCCTTCGATCACGGTTATCCTAGTGGTAACAGGAGACTCCCTCAGCCTGCCGGGAGCTGGGGCCCTCGACAGCCTCATGGCTCCACACGCCAGTGTTCTAAGGATCACACGTGTGCAGACAGCACCTGGCATGTGTGCAGCAAGCTTTGCTAACACGCCCCAAACATCTCACTCATACTTGCTAACCACATCTCTTCTCTCAGCCTCCACAGCGTTTCACACTCTGCCTTTATATTGCAGTTAACTGTGCATCCTGAGCGCCACAAAAATTCAACTCCGTCCAGGCAGAGGGTTGCATCTTTCCATCACGGGGTCCCCATTCCAGCCAGCACAGGATTTGCAGAGTGGGTGAGTCTAATGTTGATGACACTCTCTCAATATTCCCATCACACCCCTCCAAAAACAAAAGAGTACTGCCAGCTTCTTACCGAGGTTGTAATGAGAAAAATAGTTTTCTATTATTTGTCACTTTTTAATGTAATACTTGTGAAGATGTGACTTTGTATGTACACTGTAAGCACTCACACGGTCAACATTCTGCTCTCCAGTGACTGTATTCACAGATCACAAGGACAAAACTTCTCCATAATAGACAAAAAAAAGTTTTTTAAAATGACTTCCATTCATCTGAAAGTCACAGATGCGGGTTTTCCTCCAAATGATCCACAAGCCAGCTTTAATAAACACGTTGGTGCAGGTGAGAAAATGACCCCTCAGTCTCCCTCCCCTCAAAGACCAGGGCAGCCAGGAAACTGCACTCTCCAGTAAATGACAGCCGGCGGGACTCGCTAAACAGGCAGCCGGAAGATTGCCATCTCGCAGAGAGAGACTTTCAAGACTCAAGATGTCCCCGCTCCCTGAATATCCTACAAAGGACAGGGCTACCCAACTGCGGACTGAGGCAGTAAATAAACATGTTTTCAGCAAATAGCATCATCCACCCACGAATGAGAGGTACCATTTTCATTCTCGGAGGGAAATGCTACAAAGCACGTACATTTTAGCATGTAAGTGAATTATTTGGGAGTTCCTGTGTCTGCTGTCATAATGCAGCATGTCACCTCAAAAGGCAAAGTTCTATAACTCACATCCAAGGAAGGGAAAATCATGCCAAGTTTTAGCAATCCAGTAACAACCTGATGATCAAGAGAAGCCTACTTGTTCCAGACTCTAAGCAGCAATATATTGCTACAATGTAATGAAAAAACAGGGATGATTAAGAAAATTTCAATGCTAATAAAAGACAAACATAACTGGATTTATTCTACTCTAGTTTACACAGAGCGCAGCCGGGCAGTTCACCCACATGTTATTATCGTTGCTGTTTTTCGGACAGGGTCGCCCTCTGTCAACAAGGCTTGACGGCAGGGGCGCCATCTCCACTCACTGCAAGCTCCGCCTCCCAGGCTCAAGCGATTCTCTTACTTCAGCCTCTAGAGTAGCTGGGACTACAGGTGTGCAACCCTCACACCCAGCTAATTTTTGTGTTCTCAGTAGAGATGGGGTTTCACCAGGTTGCCCAGGCTGGTCTCAAGCTCCCAGGCTCAAGCAATCCGCCCGCCTCGGCCTCCCAAAGTGCTGGGATTACAGGCATGAGCCATCACGCCGGCTTTTTTTTTCCTCTTTTCTTTTTAAGTGATTATGTGCTTCAGAGTCTTGTAGGTACTTAAAAAAAAAGAACAAGTAATTGTGTAAGAGAAAGAAACCATTAACACGTTTTACACATCTCAAAACTCACAAATGAAATGCCAAGAATAAAATGTATTTTATTCACAGAAGCAGCATTCTTCAAGTTCTATAAAGTGGTACCATGGACACACCACCACATCACAGACTAGAGCGTGACAGGACTGCTCAGATTCCAAACACGTTCTGAACGGTCCTCCCTGTCACTTTCCTCAACGGGAACACTTTATTCTGTCTTCTACTCAAATTAAGTATCTTGCAAGGGAGTTGAAGAAAACTGCATAGCAGATTTTAAAACTTCAATGCTTTTCTCAATTTTTGCCACGTTCTGATGCATTTTACTGACTACACGGCCAGTAAGTTTAAAGCTTTTTGCATCGATAAAGACATTGCTGCTTTTAGCAATAGGCTTTTTCTCTTATATACAAACATCTATAACTTAAGCTAGGAAATTGGGCATTTCACAAAGATTTTGCACAATTCCTAGCAGATTTTAGCAAAATAAAACCCACTGTTATCTTTCCGCAATTAAATAACCAAGGATAGGAAACTGCACGGTTAGAATAACCATTCCATTATTTTACATAAATACAAATGATAAAGTAGAATATGCTTTGGAAAGCAATATTTCAACATGCTAACGATGAAGCAGAAGACAATTCCTCAGCAGACAGCCTCATATGACGTGTGACAACGGAAGGACTCTGGCCCAAGCCCAGCTAAATGGAAACAGGGTACATGTATTAGTGATCGTGGTGGGGCACCCTGATAGCCACAGTCCAGGAAAGAACAGGTAACATCTTTCTTCTTCATGGGAAAACCGAAACATACTCAAGAGACCCTGATTCTTTGAAACACAATCTGCCCCAGCACTAACCTTCAGCTCCCATTGATAAAGTTTGCCATAACCACAGAGGTGTTTATCCAGGCCCTCGAAAATCAAGGCCATGGTACATAATATTTCCAAACACTCAATGCTGCCACTATCTTCAATGTGCTATGATACTAGAGGTCTTGTGCAGGACCAGAAGCATCGCAACGCGGTTTCCTGTTCTGGTGTTCAATGCTTTGTATGTGCAAAGCCTGCTGTTACAATTTACTGGGTTTAATGTGATTCGGTTTGTCACAGAAGAGAGCTATGAAGTTTATGTAATTCCACAGATTCTCAGGTTCACCTTCCACGAGTGACTGCTCTGCCCACGAGACAGCAGAGGGAAGACCCACGAAAGGCCTAGGAGATGCCAGGCGCTCACAAACTGGTATCAATCAGTCTGCTGGTCTTGGCTTCAAGGAAAATAGACAGAAGGAACTAAAGGCTCACTACAGCTAATATCACAACGTTCTCAACTTTACCTTCGCCAAAAACAGCGGAAAAGCAAAACTACTCCAGGGCATGATTCCATGCTAATCTGAAACATGGAATTATTAATACTTAGAAGACAAAGTTTATTGTGAGTACAATTAATCTACACATAAAACACTGGTATCGCAAAATCCAGTCTTTGTGATTGCTTTTATAAAAAGTAAAATTCTCATTTGAGGATCATATACATTAACTGAAGTTTTCAAATGAAGGGACTGGTAAACTTCAGGGCATATGATTTCTGCCATACACGAGGGGAGCAGTGAGAGAAAGGAGCTGGGATCAAGTGTGCTGAGGCCGTCCTAGGACTGAAACTCAGCTTCTGCCAAAACAAACGCAAAAGTCTCTCAACTTCGACAGCGAGCTCTGCTGAGAGTGTCAAGATGTTGAAGTCGCAAAGGGGCTTCTCCCTGCTATGGGCACGTGTGATCCTTGCAAAAACATAGCTCAGCATCATCAAAACCCAGAAAAGAACACAAGCCTTCCAGACATGACATCCAAGAGCAGAAGGGAGCAGAGTCCAAGCTTGCTCAGCAGAACTGTTCCTGGAGGAGAACAGCACAGAGGAAGTCATAGGGAGGGCAGGGCAAGCTACAGCAGCCTCCATCTCGCCGCAAGCAGGGCCAGAGCCAGGGGCACAGTTTCCTCCCACCCAACTAGGAAGCGCAAGGAGCCAAAGAAGAGTCAATTTAGGGTCATTTTCAGAAACGTGCAACAATGAGAAACAATCTGGTCTTACCTGCGCCTCTCCTCCATGGTAACAGCTGAGCTCGCACTTTCAGGATTTCAGTGGTTTTGTGTCTGTCACATCCCCCACCTCCTTGCAGATGCTACTCCTGCACGTGGGTGCCAGTCTCTGTCCTGCTCCTGAGGCCACACCTGTTGCCATCCAGCACAGTGACCAGGAACTCACCTTTGTCCGGGAGAAGCAAATGCAGAGTTCACACGCTCCTGTACGGGTTTGCTGACCAAGAATCTAACTACGCTGTCGGATTCCAGATGTGCTGGCACCAAGCAGAATGTCACATGTCCAGCATTTATAAATGGTATCAGTGGGGTTCTCCTGGGACTCCCAGGCAGCTGCAGAAGGAAGGGAGCTGTCGCCCAGTTATCCCAAGCCAAAGCAACACTGCGAGGCAAACGCCACAGACCACATCACACTCGAGCACTCACTGACTCTTGACAATTACTCATACGTGTGTTGAAAGGCAATGTTAAGAAGCGTTCAGGGTACAGGAGTCAGACAGGCCTGGTCTCAGCCATGGGACAGCAGTAACTGCCCACAAGTCCCGTATCTAAGCCCTGACTTGCCCATCCGGCATTCCTTCAGAAACAATGCCCACCTCACAGTGCTGCCATGAGCGCTAAATTAGCATGTACATACACAACCACATTCATTTCAATTGTGCTTTCTACTCCAATTTAATACAACCAGGTGCTATCATTGAGACTGAATAACCAATATTAAAACAGAAGATCAGGCCAGGGATGGTGGCTCAGACCTATAATCCCAGCACTTTAGGAAGGTGAGGTGGGTGATCACTTGAGATCAGGAGTTGGAGACCAGCCTGGCCAACATGGCAAAACCCCATCTCGACTAAAAATAAAAAATTAGCCAGGCATGGTGGCACGCGCCTGTAACCCCAGCTACTTGGGAAGCTGAAGCATAAGAATCTCTTGAACCTGGGAGGTGGAGGAGGTTGTAGTGAACCAAGATCGTACTGTTGTGCTCCACCCTTCCAGCCTGGGTGACAGAGCAAGATTCTGTCTAATAAAAAAAAAAATAAGAGGGCAAGATGAAAACTAATTGCCAAGGTCCACATTCCATTTACTTAAAATATAAAATTCATTAGCTGGTAGTTGATCCAGTTTTTTCTTACTTCGTTACAATCTTGTATATCTTTCTAACACTGCTCAGCATGTTTACATTTGAACACACCTCAAGTGTGACTAACAACAAAAAATAAAGCGCAGATATTCCATAAATGAGTAAGTTCCAGTATGGCTGCATCCTACTGCAATTAATCCTTTGACAAGGTAAAACTGAGCCATCCTGACATAGCACTGACACATGGTACAAGAAGAATGACCTCCAGTTAAGTCACTGGATTTAGAGAACATGTAAATACAGTTTATCACTAATTCACTAGCGATTAGCAAAAATTTAGAGGAAGAAGAAGTATCGGTACTGTAACTAGAAATAAAGGCAAAAATAAGCATGAGAAATTAGTCACGTTTAAGTCAGTACCCTTTCTATGTGGCCGTAACAGTTTGCACACCTGTTGTGTGTACTTTCTCATGCTAAGCCGTCACCAAGCTCTCTATGAAGGTGGTAAGAGCTTCGCGAGTCGCAGAGCCTCGTATTCCTATTTAAACCTTCAAGAGCCAACACCACACTCAGCACGCAGTGAGAACTCTGAATGCTCAGAGGAACGCATGATGGGATGAAGGGCCCCAGCCCTGCCATCAGCCTGCTGCTTATTTAAAGTATAAAACAAAGCCCTGCCTTCAAGGTGCTCAGATCTAACTAATACAAGGTTTTGCTTTTAACAAGCTAAATAACTAGTAATGATGAAGACTCTGAACACCTGGGAGAAATGTAAGGCAACCTAGTAAGAGGAACTTGGCTGAGACTAAACCCAGAGATGTTTTGTTTTGTTTCTTTTGTTTTTTTGTGTTTTTTTTTTTTTAACCACAAAAGAAGAAAGAACTTAAGAACCTTTTGGAAAGTTGGGAGCAATTTCTATTTCTCCATGGTAGAACCTGGAATTTACCTTTGAGACAGACTGTCCTTCTGTTCTGAAAAATCAGATTATTCTTGCAATCCTCCATCAAGGGTGAAATTCCCAAAGGTGTGGAAAACTAAGTACTAATTTTAAAAATCCAAATAACTACAATCTTAGATTTGAGATTATTCTCAAATTCCACATTTGGAAATGTTTTGCACAAAGTCCTTATTTTCCCTGTTTACTCGAAAGCTCTCTATTCTTCTTTTATCCTAAATATCTTCTTTCTCATCCTTCCAAACAGTACCTGAAGATGAACTTACATATCATTTTCAACGTTAACAAAGAAGATACTGCATTTGTCATGAACTGTTTATATTCACAACACTAGGAGGGATTTTGCTACATCATGAAGAACACAAGGCAGTAAATACTCCACGAATAAAGAACAGTAGAAAATGAACACGTTTCCTGATGAGTGGCGACTTCTCATTTATTGAGCTGAGGGCTGACAAAGTTGTGATATGGAAAGCTAGACAGCTGCTATATTAGTTCTACCTCACTGAAATCACCAAGTCCCTGTTGTTTCGTTTCTCTCATCTGGGGATGAAACACACCTCACAGAGCTGTTTATGATGTCAGGAACACACACATCAAGGAAGTGATTGGTTCCTAAATCATTGCAAAGCATCTACTAACCTGCCAAATTTCACTAGCTTGTAATGAACAACTGTTTTCATCCTATACTCTCCGGTGCTAACGAGATGGTGTGTTCCGGGATCCCTGCAGGGGCCCTATTCCTGTTGCCATAGAGCACACACACATCTAGATCCACATACTATATGTACATAGGTACAGTGTAACATGTGTACATGCATAGTGTACACACATCCAACTACATATAGTGTACAAGCATAAGTGCACTATAACATGTGTGCATGCATAGAGAGCACACACATCCAGATCCATATAGTGTACGTACATAGGTACACTAACACACATGTACGTGCATAGAGCATACACACATCCAGATCCACAGTGTGTGCACATAGGCACACTGTAACATGTGTACGTGCATAGAGCATTCACACATCCAGATCCATGTAGTGTACATATGTAGGTACACTATAACGTGTATGTGGTAGAGCGTACATACATCCAGACCCAGTGTACAAACATAAGTGCACAACATGTGTATGTGCATAGAGCATACACACATGCAGATCCATGTAGTGTAGGTACATAGGTACACTAACATGTGTACATGCGTAGAGCATACACCCAGATACAGTGTACAAACCTAAGTGCACTATAACATGTACATGCATAGAGCATACACACATCCAGATCCATTTAGTGTACGTACATAGGTACACTAACATGTGTACATGCATACAGCATACACACATCCAGATTCATGTAGTGTACACACATAGGTACACTATAATACGTGTGTACATGCATAGTGTACACACACCCAAATGTAGTGTACAAACAAGTTCACTATGTGTGTACAGTGTACACACATCCAGATCCATATAGCGTATGTACATAGGTACACTATAACACATGTGTACATGCATAGAGCGTACACACATACAGATCCAGTGTACAAACATAAGTGCACTATGTGTGTACATGCAGAGAGCATACACACATCCAGATCCATAAAGTGTACATACATAGGTACACTATAACACATGCGTACATGCATAGAGCATACACATCCAAATAGTGTACAAACATGTGCACTGTAACATGTACATGCATAGAGCAAACATCCAGATCCATAGTGTATGTACGTAAGTGCAGTATAACATGTATGTACACATAGTGTACACACATCCATATCAATACAGCATACATAGGTACACTATAATGTATGTACATGCAGAGCATACACATCCATATCCATATAGCATATGTACATAGGTACACTATAATGTGTACATGCATAGCATGTACACACATCTGTACAGTGTACATGCATATGTACACTATAACACATGTACATGCATCTAGCACACAATCTATATGCATACAATGTACATATAGGTACACTATAACATGTATGTACATGAATAAAGCACAGCCATAGCCAATGTACATATACAGGTACACTATAACATGTATGTACATGAATAGCATGTACACGCATCTCTATCCAGTGTACACAGGTATACTATAACCTGTATGTACATGCATATAGCATACACATGCACATTTGTATGTACATAGGTATAACATCTATATACATGCATATAGTGTACACATATCCGATGTACAGTGCACTACAGCATGCCTACACATGCGTAGTGTATACATATGCACATATATATAATGTATATATGTCAGTACACTAACATATACATGTGTAAAGTATGTACATATGCAGTACATAGTGTATGTACATATGCAGCATGCGTACATTAGTGTGCACATATCCACAAGTTTATTCAGTGTGCGTAGTGTACATGCATGCTTACAGTGTGCACACATGTATATATATAAGTACACAAATGTGCAAATACCCATATGGTGTATGTACACAGGTACATATATGGCGTTAAATACATGCATGTATGTACACATATGCAGTACAGATACATGTCCAAATAGTGTGGATATAATAGTGCCCATAGTTATGCACATATGTACACATGTACATGCATGCCCATAGCATGCACACATGTAGGACACATGTAGTGTACATACCTATACATTGTAAATACATGTACAATGGCAATACATAGTACGCATACACCACATACAAGTACACATTTGTATAGTACACATATACCGAGACCCAGAACAGGCCATGAATATTAACGCTGCAGAAAGGCTTCCAGTTCCACATAATTTTTTTTTCCAAACTGTAATAGAAGTCATACAAAGAGGGTTTTAAGGAAATAATTTTCATGAATAAAGCTAGTGACAAAAACACAGTGAGAAGGGCGCAACCACTTTCTGTCAGAGCTCTGGCTTGACTGTGGAGTTCAGAGGTTTCCTAACATAGTACACGTCAGGACTGACTCACGATGAAGCACTCCTTAAAAAATTAGAAGTGTGTCCTCATGTTTTGGCGTTTGAGACAAAGCCTCTTATTTAATCGAGTTCTGACAATTTGACTCACAGTATTCTGGCAGATTATTCATTTTCTGGTGAGAGAGACCAATGTCCCAGGGTGAGGGCAACACCAAGCCCTTCAGGGTCAGCTTTTCTAGGAGCGATGTCTGGCAGAATGCAATCCAACACCAAAGTAGGATTCCCCACCACAAAGTGGACATCCCCCACCTGGCCACTTAGACGCTTTCTGATACTTACTCTAGTCTACTTGTTTCCCTTTCTTGAATTCAGCTGGGGAAAAAACAACAAAAACAGCCCATGTGTTTGTATGTCTAAAAAGTTAATACATCCACACCCAACTTTCTAAATGAGAGATGGCAAGTATGATGGTCAAACAGTGGCCACTGTTGACAAAATACAGGCAGTCTTCTGCAAATATGAGTTTCTAGGAATACAAAAGTCAAGGGAATTTACTTAACATGTTAAGCTGTCAAAGGTGCTAATCAAAAATGTACTTAGAGGTTTTTTTTAAAGTTATATTTGAAGATTTTTAAGTTGCAATACTTAAAAGCCTCTAGAAAAAGAAAAGATACAAGTATCTGGAAGATTTATACTAAATGATTTTAATGTATTTTTGGTAAAGTTAAATAAGGTCAGCCTTGAAGTAATGGGTTCCATTACCCTCTGAGGCCATGGATGGAACCCACCACCACGAGAGAATCAAACAGCAAGGCTGCACACACAGGATGCAGGCAGTGAGCCGGGGCTGGCTGGTTGTCAGGTTCTGGGTCAGTTCTACCCGGTTCTGCCCAGGCCCTACTGGAGATGAAAACTTGTCCTTGAGAAGCCTTCAATCCCCCACCTTTCAAAATCTAATCCTCTCCAACTGAGGTCCGAGTCCAAAAATCTACTGACATCTTAGCACATGTTAGGCCAGCTGTCCCCAGCCTTTTTGGCACCAGCGATGGGTTTACGTGGACGACAATTTTTCTGGGGGGTGGTTTTGGAATGAAACCGTTCCACCTCAGGTCAGGCATTGGATCCTCATAAGGAGCACCTCCGAGATCCCTCACGCACAGTTTACAATAGGGTTCCAACGTCTATGAGAACACAGTTTACAATAGGATTCCAGTGTCTATGAGAATCTAATGCTGCCACTGATCCAAGAGGAGGCGGAGCTCAGGCAGTCATGCTCACTCACCGGCCACCCACCCCCTGCTACAAAAACCCGGTTCCTAACAGACCGTGGACTGGCACCAGTCTGCAGCCCAGGGCTAAGCCCTACCGGCCAGCACCCACACCAGCCCAGGTGGAGACACCACTCGTGACCCTGCTGGGCAGAAAGGAAGCCTGAGGGCAGCTCCCTGACCAGGATGCCATGCACCCAACCCAAATACAGAGGTTCTCCGTAAAAACCCACCGTACACTTAACATAAAACAGAGTCACACCGGGGCAACATAACAAGACCCCATCCCTGCAACAAAGAAAAGAAAGTTAGCCAGGCATGCTGGTGCGCGCCTGAGGTCCCAGCTACTTGGGGGACTGAGGTGGGAGGATCGCCTGAGCCAGGGAGGTCCAGGCTGCAGTGAGCTGGGATCACACCACTGCATGCCAGCCTGGGTGACAGAGCAAGACCCTGTCTCAGAAAATATAAATAAACTAAAAACCAACAGAAACTGGATGCGTTTAGGTGGAGGAAACACCGCAGAAGACTAGAGAATGGTGTGATAGCGTTTCTATCAGGAAGAAAAGCGTGTCTCCAAACCAAGTGTTCACGCCCTTGTGAGACCCTGTGCTTGGGAAGCACCAGCGTGGCCACGTGGCCGGCCTCTTCCTGGTTTAAATATAGTGGAATCAGACACTGTAATGACACAAAGGGGCTATGACAAAACCTGGAGGTTCTAATTGAGAAAATTATATACCTAAGTTCCTATGATATAGTCTCAAAACAATAGAAGGAAGGTACCATTTTCAAATAAAATTTCTGATGTATATTCAAGTGTTACCTCTTGGGAAAATGGGGAAGACTAATTTTCTCCATAAACAAAACACACAGCACTTTGCCACACATAATACATGGCGATTTATGGCAGTTGCCACATATTTTCACATGTATTACCTTTTGGGCATCTTCTAGGTTTGCAAGAATCAGTGACTACTTTTATCCCCCACAACACACAGAGAAATGCATGAGCATATCTCCTCCAATGGAGCCTTCACCATAAATACACTCATAGGAAAAAGAACGTTGTACTCCAAGTGCATCTGCAAACGCAGTTTTCTTCTGAAAAGCCAAGGGGCATGCAAAGCAAACACGGCATATCACTAAAGCGCAAAGGAGAACGGAGCACCTCTCTTAGCAGAAAGAGAATTATAGGATAGCTAGTTGGGAACATTTTTTTAAAAAGTTTATATGGAATGAATTATCCCAGGGAGCCTGTTTGGTACCTGCATTAAAAGGCAATTCATTATCCTACATAAGGTCCTTTACGGAAGGTTCACAGTAACATCCCTGGAAATGGCATTCTCCTAGTGAACTTTCAATGTTCAGATTTCAGTATCGATATAACTTTGTAAGCAGTCAGGAGAGGGGCGGCTCAGAGGCTGAAAGCACACAGGTCAGGGCCCTCTTGTGTCCCACAGCCTCACCTGGGCCTCGCTTTCTGCACTGCCCGGGGCTGCTCCCGAGACTGTGCTGAAACCGATCTGTGCACGCCAAGCAGCTCTCAGCCAGCGCTCAACAGCCGGAAGCAGTTCTGCCACGGTCATCCTCCTTGTAATAAAATAAAGAACACCCGATGCAGAAACAGGTATTAAATGAGTTATCAAAGCCGAAATCCACCCGATCGCTCCAAAACAAAAACACACCACTGCCCAATACTGATGTGAGCCAAAAACATGGAAGACCTGAGGGCCCACACTGACCACAGCCAGACGCCACTTCTCCAAGAACCAAGCACGTGCCTAGAGATCGCCTGTAATGACGCAGAAGGAGAGCAGCTTTGAGCAGCCACAAATGTGAAAGAGAGAGGCGCGGGGGCCAGGGTGCTGGGTGGGTCCGTCTTTGTGACCTCACTGACCTCTGTCCCTTGGTGTCTGTCCTATGGAGGAGGTGGCCCCCAAATCCCTGCATCCCTTCAGCACTGACTCTGAGGCTGCCCTGAAGTCTCCCCAGGGCTGAGACTACTTCTAAATCCTGCTAACTGCACCCCCACATAACTAAAAACAAAACATCAACTATGCAGACAGGAAAAGAAAAATATACACCAATACTCCCCTATTCAACAGGCATTTAAAAAGTAACAGGAAAATTGTGATACTCTTTAAACAACCACCAGCCATCATGTCCTGTTGAAATGTTTTAGCTAATCAGGAACATCTTTACCAAGCATCTGTGTTTTTAGGAAATCAGTTGACAGATTCCAAATCTCGGAGCCCACGACCTGACACCCACTCACGCGCATCACCTCTCAATCTCGGGGCCCACAACCTGACCCCCACTCACGCGCATCACCTCTCAATCTCGGGGCCCGCAACCTGGCCCCCACTCACGCGCATCACCTCTCAGATAATCTCGGGGCCCGCGACCTGGCCCCCACTCACGGGCACCACCTCTCTAGTCTCGGGGCCCGCGACCTGACCCCCACTCACGCGCATCACCTCTCAATCTCGGGGCCCGCGACCTGACCCCCACTCACGCGCATCACCTCTCAATCTCGGGGCCCGCAACCTGACCCCCACTCACGCGCATCACCTCTCAATCTCGGGGCCCGCGACCTGACCCCCACTCACGCGCATCACCTCTCAGATAATCTCGGGGCCCACAACCTGGCCCCCACTCACGCGTATCACCTCTCAGATAATCTCGGGGCCCGCGACCTGACCCCCACTCACGCGCATCACCTCTCAGATAATCTCGGGGCCCACAACCTGACCCCCACTCATGCGCATCACCTCTCAATCTCAGGGCCCGCGACCTGACCCCCACTCACGCGCATCACCTCTCAATCTCGGGGCCCGCGACCTGACCCCCACTCACGCGCATCACCTCTCAGATAATCTCGGGGCCCGCAACCTGGCCCCCACTCACGCACATCACCTCTCAATCTCAGGGCCCACGACCTGGCCCCCACTCACGGGCATCACCTCTCCAGCAGAAAGAGCCTTGGACACCATTCAAATGGTAAGGAACAAGGGTACTTTTCCCTCAACACAAAACAAGCTTGACCTCTATGAGCCCGGAGAACACCGACGTTTGTGTAGACACTTTCCCACTGACTTCGTCAGAGCAAGCGTTCCCCATCCCACGCCACCCTGTTTTTCTCTCCCTGGGACACCAGCGGGCATCGCCCTCACAAGCTGGAAACAGAGGACCAAGCTGACAGGAGGCCTCTCTCCATTCCCTACTGAATTCGCTCAGAAGACGGGTGTTCCCAAACACACACAGCCCTGAGTATTCCACATAGTATTACATTCAGTAAATCGCATTTGAATGCCTCAAGCGCTTTTAATAATCCCAGAGTAATTCTATAAAACCGGGAAATCCGTCTCACCTGGCTCCAGGATCACGGCCCAGGTGATGTGGGCACACACATCCTGAAGCTCCAACACTCAACTGAAGCGGGGCGAGTGAAATGATCCTGGGTATAATTTACATGGACACAGGAAGGTGGCTGAGCCCAAATCCCCTAAACCAGGAACACCGGCGTCCTGCAGGGGCCTCACCTCTGTCCTTTCCCAGCCTCTGGGAACCACCACTCTGCTCTCTACTGCCACAAACGCCGCTGCAAGGTACAACCAGGAAGATCATCATTCAAAACTGAGGATTGTGGCAGAACAAAGCTGTCAGATTTTAATCACCAACAACACTAGTTACATGACCCAAAGATGATTAAAACACCAGGCCATTCAAGACTGAATTTTATCTATACTTAAATGCATTTAATCACCATATTAGAGGGTTAAGGGGGGTTATTCCTTTGTTTTGCAGCAAATATATCCAACTGCTGTAAAAGGAAAAGGCAATTTGGTAATGACGCTTCTTGCAGTGTCTCAACGGGCCTCAAGGAGACACAGGATTAAAGGCAGGACTCCTGGGCAGAAACGGCTCAACTCTAAGGGCAGGTGGAGTTCCTGAGCACCAACCAAGGCAAAGTAAGGTCCAAGACCACACCACACTTCCCTCAACCACGTCTTCATTCCACGTTTCCTTCTATTTCTCACAACTTCTCTGGGAGAGAGAATTAAATTGTGCTGAGCCTCTGAAAGAAAATGGAAACACACATGGGAAGGCCCTGCAGATGCTGAGAATGGACGCAGCCATCACAGCCTGAATGTCCTTTCAGGGCCATCTGACCTGGCTGGGATCCAAGTGCAGGAATGCATATCGGACACATGAAACCAGGATTACAGCCACTGAACAGCAGTTTTCCACCCCACCACAAGCGGCCTTGCTAGGGGCTTCCTCAGGGACCACCAACCTCACGCCACCACCCCTCACTACTTCACTAACCTACGTCACGCCAGAGGCCACCCCAGGCAGACCAGCCCTAAGTCCCGCTTCATGGTAAACCCTCCAGGCAAACTTTCTCGGCCTCCTCCGGGAGGCTGTGCTCGGAAGGTGCCCTCATTTACTTCTGTGGCTCTGAGACATTTAACTAGAGCCCAACACATCTCTTCCTGTTCACATAGTATTGAGTTAACAGATTTTTGTGAGGAAACTTTCACTGGGAAAAACACCATCTCAAGAGCCCCAATGACCACAATGAAAATGTTTTTACCTCCCTTTAGGTGACATCTGCAAGGCCAGGTCCAGGGAACGTTCTGGATCTCAGATAGATAATGGCTTATCCACTCATGGTAAGCCTTGGTCTTGTTTCACAAGCTATCAAATGCTGCCCCCCACATTTTGTGGGGAAAACCCCACAACAAGGTGGGGAGGGGCGACCAGCATGAGTTCTAAGGCCAGACCACGTGGGTCCCCACTGACAGCATGGGGAGGGGCAAACAGTGCAGTGTCTAAGGCCAGACTACCCGGGTCCCCACTGACAGCATGGCGAGGTGCAAACAGTGCAGGGTCTAAGGCCGGACCACCTGGGTCCCTGCTGACAGCGTGGCGAGGGGCAAACAGTGCAGGGTCTAAGGCCGGACCACCCGGATCCCTGCTGATAGCGTGGCGAGGGGCAAACAGTGCAGGGTCTAAGGCCGGACCACCCGGGTCCCTGCTGACAGTGTGGCGAGGGGCAAACAGTGCAGGGTCTAAGGCCAGACTACCCGGGTCCCTGCTGACAGCGTGGCGAGGGGCAAACAGTGCAGGGTCTAAGGCTGGACCACCCAGGGTCCCGCTGATACCATGACTTCAGGAGTTTCCTAAACCCTCTGCTCTCCAAGTTCCGCGTCAGTAAAACGCGGTGATAACCGTGGCCACCTCGTGGGATGACGGGATCACACACAGGAACAGCGTCAGCACACGGATTGCTGGGCACGTGGGAGGCCACACTGCCATAGGTCACCCCATGTGAAATCCAGGTCATTTAATAAAATGAAATAAAAATACCCCAAACCTACAGTCCTATAAAGGTCATTAATCCCAGCTATCCTCAAGACATTGATCAATAACAAGTCGCTTCAGCCCTGACCCTCCTGAAACCCCACATCCACACCAGGCACTGCCTCAGCCCTGACCCTCCTGAAACCCCACATCCACACCAGCCACTGCCTCAGCCCTGACCCTGCGGAAACCCCACATCCACACCAGGCACTGCCTCAGCCCTGACCCTCCTGAAACCCCACATCCACACCAGCCACTGCCTCAGCCCTGACCCTGCGGAAACCCCACATCCACACCAGGCGCTGCCTCAGCCCTCACCCTCCTGAAACCCCACATCCACACCAGCCACTGCCTCAGCCCTGACCCTGCGGAAACCCCACATCCACACCAGGCACTGCCTCAGCCCTCACCCTCCTGAAACCCCACATCCACACCAGCCACTGCCTCAGCCCTGACCCTGCGGAAACCCCACATCCACACCAGGCACTGCCTCAGCCCTGACCCTGCGGAAACCCCACATCCACACCAGCCACTGCCTCAGCCCTGACCCTGCGGAAACCCCACATCCACACCAGGCACTGCCTCAGCCCTCACCCTCCTGAAACCCCACATCCACACCAGCCACTGCCTCAGCCCTGACCCTGCGGAAACCCCACATCCACACCAGGCACTGCCTCAGCCCTGACCCTGCGGAAACCCCACATCCACACCAGCCACTGCCTCAGCCCTGACCCTGCGGAAACCCCACATCCACACCAGCCACTGCTTCAGCCCTGACCCTCCGGAAACCCCACATCCACACCAGCCACAGGAGGGCAGGGAAGGACCAGGACTGTGTCCTGGGAACTTAAACTCTGGAAGCTGAGTCAAATCAGTGCTGCTCAAATCTTGTCATCAACTGTCTTGTTAAATTGGGAGATTCCATCTCCGGGGGTCTCAAGGGAACCTGAGGCTCCGCACTGGGTGAGGTGAGCACTCATGCTGGAATGAGAGGTCAGGGAAAGTTCAACCGAATCTGAGGTCGCAGCTGCCTGCGGCTTGGGTCCCTGCCGGGAAAGTGACACCAGGGCCCTATCAGGACAGTAACAGAGGTCCCGGCAGAGGTCCCAGGAGGCAAGTCCAAGCGCAGAGGCTCGTGGACCCAAAGCTTGCTCCAGGGCCAAGAGGGGCTGCTGTGCTGACAGTCGTGAGGCAGGCAGCCTTCGAGCTCCTCCAGCTGCCGTCCCGCAGGCGGGGAGGGTGGTGCCTGAACTGCCCCACAGGCTACCCCAGCCTGCCAGGCTGGTACTCTCACCCCAGCCACTGACAAGAGCCCCCATGTTCAACATCTGGACACAGTTTTTCTTGAACATCAGCTTCTGTTTCTCTGGGGTAAATACCCAGGAGTGGGGTCACCGGGCCCCACGTTTGTGTGAGTTCAGTTTTGTAAGAAACTGCTGAGCCGTCTGCACCATGCTGAACCGCAGCATCACACAGGAGTCCCGGCTGCCTCTGTCCTCACCACCACCTGGTGCTGAAGACCTTCCATCAGCCGCTCCAGCAGGGGTGTAAAAAAATTCACCGCAGCTGCAATGCACATCTCGCTGAAACCAGTCGCACTGAAGGTCATTTCAGATGCTTTCAGGCCACCCTCCCCGTCCTTCTCGATGGAGCACCTGTTCAGGTCTCTGCCCGCTTTTAAGTCAGGTGGTTTGTTCTCTCAGTCATGAGCTTTGGGAGTCCTGTATGCATTCTGGACACAAGTCCTTTGCCAGCTGCATGATTTGTAGACATCTTCTCCCTGTCTGCAGAAAATGTGTCTCTTCAATTCCCTAGGGGTGTCTTTTATATTAAAAGTTTAATTTTGATGAAGTCTTGTCTCCTTGTTTTCTTCCCTATGGATCATTGGTTATCATGGCTAAGAGCTCTAACCCTAGGTCAAGACCCAAGGTCTCGACGATTTCCATTTCTTCTACAGGTTTTCTAGTTTGGCATTTTACATTCAGGGTTATGGTCCACCTTAATTTTCATACAGGAATTTCTCCTTGTTTTCACTCTTTTGCATATGGCTGTCCGATAATTCCAGCACCATTTGTTGAAAAGACTCAAATTCCACTGACCTGCTTTTGCATCTTTGGGTCTTCTGGACTCCACTCTGTCAGCTAACCCGTGTGTCCCTCCTGAGCATAATTTACGACTTCAGTGGATGTCTCTTTGTGAAAAAAGTAATTCTGTCTGGAAGCAAAAACCACACTAGAAATACTCTAATGAGATTCTTCCTCTTGTCAGGAGAGTAGAGGCACTGCCCTATGCAGAGGTGAGGCCTCAAAGGCTCCCAGGTGAAACCTTAACACACAAGGGGGAAGGCAATTCATTTCAAGGTAGTTACCAAGGGCCACAACATGAGACCAATGTAGCCATTAAAACTGCAATAATTTCACAACAGAATGAAATTCATAAGAACTGCTGAGAAGCGTGTGATAAGTTACATAAATCACCGTATCAAGATTCTGACGGTTGACTAGAAGAGAAATACCTTTCACAGTATAGTTCAAACAGGAGAAAGGTAGGAGTGGTTTCCACATCACACAGGGCCTGTGGGAAATGGACACTCTTCCTCTAAACGGGAGGTCCCGGGAGTGACGTGATAAACCACAGTGAGAGGCACGGAACTGTGAAAACCGGAGTCACGGCCTGAGCCCCACCACTGAGCCTCTGCGTCCATGAACGACGAGGCTCGAATGTCAGGCCAGGGGCAACCAAGGTAGTTATCAGGGGACAAGAAAATGAGTACATGGTGCAAGGCAAAGGTCTGAAATAGCACAGCACCTTCGAGTCAAGTGGGACAAACTGACTCAAAATACAGCTTCTAAAAAAACCACAGCAAGCTGTTCCTTGGCTCTGGAAAGGCTAAATGACTAACGCCCACACTGAGCATCTTCTCCCAGAGGTGACCCTGGTGACACAAGGCCCAGTTCCTGCGAACCCACGCCGAACCTCAGTGAGGAACTTGCTGGTATCTTACGGCATATCGACATGTTCCTTTAAAATCAGGTGTTTCATCAACGATGCAGGTGCCAGCTTTGACTCATTCACATTTCGATTCAACAAGATAATTTGCACCCTGACCATGCCAGATGAGAGTTTACTACAATCTTTAAACAGAGCCAGAGGCCATAGTCTGCTCCTACACAACACTATATCTCTACAAGTTAGACGGGTTTTTACTTTACATATCTTCACTTACCTAGTGCTAGAAAGCAGATTAAAAATAGAAGGAACCCAGAAACGCTATTGAAACTCAAATATCTTACAGCCACCATTCTGATGACCTAGGCAGGTCGTCCTAAGGTCTCCACCGCACCAGAGCCTGCGAGGTGAAGGGGCCGCCTCCCTCCAGCAGGAGTCCAGGAGCAGTGACTGCACCAGCTTCATGGCGTGAGAATTCCCCCCTCGGTCTCCGAGCCTCCAGTCTGTCCCCCACCAGGTTCTTCTGCCGGTGGCAAGGCCCAAGCTGGGTGGCACATTGGTTCTGACCATTTCCCTTGTCAAGATCAACACTGCAAACACACATCCAATTCATCCTGTCACTAAAAAATGAAAGAAGCCGCCACCTCCATCACAGATAACAGTCAGGTTTCCATTACTGGTTTTTTTTGTTTTGTTTTTTTTAGATGGAGTCTCTGCTCTGTCACCCAGGGTGGAGTGGAGTGGCGTGATCTCGGCTCACTGCAACCTCTGCACCTTCCCGGTACAAGTGTTTCTCCTGCCTCAGCCTCCCGAGTAGCTGGGATTACAGGTGCCCGCCACCACGCCTGGCTAATATTCATATTTTCAGTAGAGACAGGGTTTCACCATGTTGGCCAGGCTGGTCTCAAACTCCTGACCTCAGGTGATCCACCTGCCTCGGCCTCTCAAAGTGCCGGGATTACAGGTGTGAGCCACCATGCCCTGCCATTACTGGTGTAATTTCTAAGCCACTCTCTCACACCCACTCCCCTATTTTGTTAAAAACCAGTTATATGGCTATATTTTTTCCAAGAGAACCAGTTACCCATTTGAAGTACAAATAAAACATCATGTTTAAAAACCAAAAATGCCAATTTGCACAGAAGTTTACAAATACCCAGTCGATTTGAGCCTTGAGAATAAGATCAAGCTGTTGGCTAAATACAACTTCCCTTTTCATCTGCCTGCCGGTGAGTTAGACACAAGGACGAAGCCACCAGCTAGGGACATGAAGGCAGGAACCACCAAGGTAACCGAGACTCCAAATAAAAGCTCAAGGGACCAACACAAAGGTACCACACCCCACACCCTCCTCTCCTTCCTTTTCAGAACTTCCACAGGATGAAACAGGGACCTCTCCTCAGACGTCCCACAGTGCAGGCAGCCAGAGGGGAAGACAGCGGCGGCCTGAATGAGGCGACCAGGAAATCACATTCCACAAACAGCAGAAAGTCTCCATGTGCTTTACATCTTGTCTCTGAAGAACGATGCGAGTCTAAGTCGCCAGAAAACCATATTCAAGTGTCATTTCACATTTCAAGCGAAGAAAACAGTGGTAGGGCATGAGGGAGACACATTCATAGCCATGTGTTCTGGGGTATTCAACAAGAGGTTTTTTTCTGTTATAAACGTATAATTAGACATTCTCACATTTCTGTATAATTGATATTTCTGCTAATTAGGAAGCATATTAATATAAAGTGAATTCCAAGTGTAATAATCGGAGGACCCATTCAGATGACTTCAGGTTCTGCTGTGTTTCAACTGAAGAAAATGGTTCTGTGTATTGGTAACAAGGCGTGACAGTTTGTGTGGCTGTAATGAGGGCTCATGTTGCCTCCGTAGCAGCGGATGTTATATCACCACATTATCTTCTACAAAAAATCCTGAAAAAAATGAAGGCTGAATAGACATACATACCCTCCCAAAATAATCCAAATGTCCATCGATACGAAAACAGATGAATGACGGTTTGTTCCCACCATGGAATATTCCTCAGCAGTGAAAATAAACTATAGCCACAGGTACCAACTAGCATAAAGAAAATATTTTTAAAATGCTTAAAGTGAACTGACTAGGTGGAATTCCTCGATTACAGGTGTCTGCTTAGAAAGGGTATGGTTCTGAATTCCTGGGATTCAGAAACTAATTAGCAACCCTGTTTGGAGGCACATCTAGAAAAAAGCAAAATAATGACAACACTATTTTTAATTCTTTGTAAATTATAACTATTACTATGAAAATTCTAAAAATGTGAAATTTTTCCCAACTGTTCCTTTGACAAGCTTCAAAATAAATACCATGAGAATACAGCTCCAGTTAAGTTAGTAGAATGGAAACCTGAAGATGTACGAGCCGTCCCTGCTCGTGTAGAAATCTGAGAGCAGGTATGACACTGCAAGGCTCAAACCAACTGGGTATTTGGAAACTTCTGTGCAAAATGGCATTTTTGGTTTTTAAACACGAGGTCACTGTTATTTGTACTTCAAACAGGTAACAGTTTGGTTCTCTTGGAAGAAATACAGCCATAAAACTGGTTTTAAAAATATATATATGGGAGTGGGTATGAGAGAGTAGCTTACAAATTATGCCAGTAGTGGCCGGGAACGGTGGCTCATGCCTGCAATCCCAGCACTGAGAGGCAGTCCCCACACCTTTGAGGGCACTGGTCTCCTCTGCCGCCTTCCTGCAGGACCAACCCCAGGACACTCACTGGGTTTCCATCCCTGCCTCATTCAACATCCCCCCGGGGTGGTCTCATCGTCATCTGGGGCTCAGCTCTGCCCCACTTTCCTAAATCTGACTTCAGAGCCTGCAAACACCCACGCCCAGTGTAACCCTAAGTCCACGTTTACCCCAGAGAGTCCCAATTTTATATGTTTTCCCAACATCACCTTAGTGATAATTTATCCTGTAAATTCCAACTGCCTTCACACCTCACCCCCGCTGTCTCCCAGCAGACCCCACACCCGGGTCTGTGCATGCCGCCCTGCTCTGCCCACGCGGGACCCCCCCCCCCCCACCCTTTCTGGAGAAATCAGCTGGCGATCATCTCCTCGTGGAAGGCTGCCCTGACTTCCAACCCTCTCCAGCAGAGGCAGGGGCCCTCCTCGGTACTTCCCCCCAAAAGCTGGGCCAAGCATGGAGACGGCACATATCCTAGCTGTGCCTGGGATGTCACGGGCGGGGTCCCCAGATGCTCTGCACACGGCCTGGGGCACCACCTGAACACAGCAAGTGCTGAAGAAATAAAACCGACATGCACTGACCTCCGATAGGGCCTCCTTTACCATCCACATCCGTCTCCCCTCTGGACAGTAAAGTCCACAAGAAAGGGAGAGCTTGTCTCACTCACCTTCAAATTCCCAGGGTCACCCTGGCAGGTAAAGGGGACTCGAATGTCTTCTGAAAGCAGCAGCTGGTTAGCTGCCGAGTTAAAGGGCCTCTGAATTTCAGAGCTCTGTGTAGGAGTCCAGCACACTTTATCATGAATGACTCCAACCACGGCGGAACTGGCCGTGGAACCAGTGCCAACCAATTCAGGGTGTGTTCACCGTTTCTCAGTTCATTATCACAACTCACTAACAGAGCAGCCGTGCACAGATCCTCAGACGTTTACGCAGTGGGATGACAGAGGGGCCGACGGTGCTGAGTCACGTGAAGGTCCCGTTGCAGACTGGGAGAGAACGGCCAGACATGGACCCAGGGAGAGCACAGACCTCGGTTAAGTCAGCTCCATGTAAATAGCACTCCTGCCAGGCCCTTTCCTATCTGCACAGCTTCTACAAATTCAACTCTCACACCTGACACCTAAGAATACTGCACAACCCCACATGAAACTCCCCACTTACCTCCCAAAATGACCTGGCACGGCCGAGTACAAACCATTTCAACATAAGGGAACATGGCCAAGTACAAACCATTTCAACATAAGGGAACATGGCCGAGTACAAACCATTTCAACATAAGGGAACATGGCCGAGTACAAACCATTTCAACGTAAGGGAACATGGCCGAGTACAAACCATTTCAACGTAAGGGAACATGGCCGAGTACAGACCATTTCAACGTAAGAGAACATGGCTGAGTACAAATCATTTTAACATAAGGGAACGTGGCTGAGTATAAACCATTTCAACGTAAGGGAACTGGAGGGCACGTGGTGCTTTCTCGAGTCCCTGGCTGCTTCCTGACAGGAAGGCCCAATGCTTCAACACCCCTAGTGAAGGGCAGGTCTCGTCGGCCCCCTCAGAGTCAAGAAAACCCATGTTCACTTTCTCAAGACCACACACAACCGAGCCGCAAACCAGGGCGGAATCTCGACTCTCCGGGTTCAGATCATGTCGAATTTACGACCTGCTGCTGTGGACACTGCAGGAAATGATGAGCCTGATTCGGGCTTTGACCTTGAGCTAATTAGCATTAGCTAATTTCACTTCCCAGGACCAACTTCCAAGGCCTGCAAAGCCAGAGAAGGGAGAGGAGACAGAACACGCCCTCACCGCAGACCTGGTGCAAAGCACGCACTTCTCAGATGTGTCCCAAGGTGCAGTGTGTCCGATGCCCGTTCACATCCACCGACCCGCAGGTCTTCTACATGGCATCAGCCTCCTGGGCACTCGGGACAAGAGGTAAAATGGCAAATCCCCTCTGCAGCAAAGGCGAGGCGCAGGGCCCACACGGAATCAAACTGACCTTTTTCTGACAGTCTCAAAACAAAGAAAATACTGTACAGCCAACGTCCCCTCACGCAGGTTTACTCACCTGTGACTCGTGGGCCATGACAGAAAACTTCAGGTTCTTATTAGTTCCTATTTTCCCCATCCAGGAAGCCTTTGGTTTTAATATACAAACTTGCCATTTTGTAGGCCAAAAACAGCCAAATATTGGCAGTTTCCTATGGTTCAACTGAATAAAATATGACCACAACCTTTTGTGAAACCATGAAGAAAAAGTGAGTATCTCAATATGTGTTTCCAGACTGTGGCTTTGTCCCTGAAGCACTAACTCTTCTCACTCAGGATTTGAGACACTGAAGAACAAACATCAATATCCCACCAAGAGAACTGAAAGAATGAAATGATTTTGCATCTACCTTGAAGCCTTTTTAGAACAAGGCAGGACACAAACTTTTAAAAAGCTCCAGTTGTCCCTCCATCTACACAGGGACATCGGTTCCAGGACACCCCGGGTTTACCGAAATCCACGCGTCCGCAGGACCCGCGCCCACCCTGTGGAGCTGCATGTAGGAAATGTCGGCCCTCCACAAAGTCAGGTTTTTTCAATAAGGGTTTGGTTGGGAAAAAAAATTAACGTAAATGATCCTTCGAAGCTCAAGCCCATGTTGTTCAGGGTCAGCCGCACTTACTACTTGTGTCATAATCTGAGGCCTGACAGCCATCGTTCTTGATAAAGGGATGGTTAACAAACTAACTGTTCTGATTAGAAAGCGGAGGAAAAAGCTTATTTTTAAGCCGACAAAGAGTGGACACTGCTATGGTGAATGGAAAACAGACGTAAATAAGCACCAAGGCTGGGGTGACTGCCTGTGCTCAGACCCACTAAGGCCTGTTCCTCCGCCTCCCTCTGCTCAAACGGATAACTCCTTCCCCACGGCTAAAGGACCTTTTTTAAAGATTCACGCGAGAAGTGCTATGAAAAGCTGAAAGGTCACAGATAACGTTTTAAAAAATAAAAGTAACCTAAGTATTGAACAAGCCCATTATAAATGATAAAAAATGATATTAAGTTGCTGGGTGCGGTGGCTCACGCCTGTAATCCCAGCACGTTGGGTGGCCAAGGTGGGTGCATCACCTGAGATCAGGACTTTAAGACCAGCCTGGCCAACATGGTGAAACCCCATCTCTAACGAAAATTAGCCGGGCGCAGGTGCCTGTAATCCCAGCTACTTGGGAGGCTAAAGGAGGAGAATCACTTGAACCTGGGAGGGAGAGGTTGCAGTGAGCCGAGATCATGCCATTGCACTTCAGCCTGGGCGACCAGTGCGAAACTCCATCTCAAAAAAAAAAAAAAAAAAAAAAAAAAAAAAGTATTAAGTTTTCCTTCCAATGAACCTATCATTCTGCCACCGAGGTATCCTATAGGTACTTATTCAGCCATGAGATACATCACAGGAGACGTAGGTGAATAGGACACAGTTCCTCCCTGACAGAAGGCTGCACCCCAAGGAAGGAAGGCACATACTGTGAATGGAATCGGCATAGGGAACAGATGCTGCGGGAAGTGGAACTGGCTTCACAGAGCACCCGGCTCAAGCGTCTGAGAAATAAGGAGCCATTGGTGGCATCACCTGTGCCTGAGCTGGGGTGGTGGGGAGCCTGTCATCACCACCACTGCCCAGGACAAAGACACCCAGAACCACACAATGAGCTTTCAAGCTCACCAAGGCGATGACTGAGCAATGCGCATAGTGACGCGAACATGCAGACATGAGGGCCACACGTGGCATTGGTTTTGTGTATCGACCTGAGTGGGCCCCGGGGTGCCCAGGTGGCTGGTTCTGCATTATTTCTGTGTGAGATGTGTGTTTGCCTCTGGACTGAGTGGAGACTAAGTGGAGACCCATCCTCGCCAGTGTAGGGGGCACCACCCTGTCCACCCAGGGCTCCAGGGCTCGAGTAAAACAGCAAGGCGGGGAAGGCTGGGCTCGCTCCACCTGTCTGGCTGCAGGCCAGTGGCATCCGTCTTCTGCCCCCGGTGCTCCTGGGTCTCAGCTCCTCAGACCTGGGTGGGATCTGCACCCTCCGCTTCTCAAGCCTTTGAGCCACACCCTCCCAGGCCTCCAGGTTGCAGGCAGTGGGTCCTGGGGCTTCTTGGCCTCCGTAGCCCCTGCAGCAAGCCTCCCCCTGGACACACACACACCGGGCTGGCTCTGTCTCTCTGGAGAGCCCTGACTAAGCTGCCCCTAGAAGTGGTCTTCAGAGTTTCCTTCTAGCCCCAATATCCCAGTGCCCCCCTACAATTCTAGGTGGAAAGGTGAATGGAGACCTGGTGAATGGAGACCAATGGACAGAGGTGTGTGCCGAGGACACGCTGGGCAGCAGGGCTGGGCAGGAGTGCACTAACGCTGTCACTATGCAAAGAATCAATGTCACTTGCCACAAAAATGAGAACAGTAAAGATTCCTTCAAACAGAAATGAGTTTGTTTCATGATTTGCTCTTAATACGTAAGAAATCATAAAAGTAGGCCTACTAACAATTACGTAAGTCTTCAGAGGCTCCTGAACTACTTCTGTCCCTTCATGTTTTTATACAAAATAAGCTTGAGGTTAAAGAGAATAACGTCACTGGCCACAGCTGGGGCCACACGAGGACACAGCTTACACCCATGAGGTCCTAGGGGTCCTGAGTCCTTTCCTGGCTATTTATGGAAATACGGGAGAAACCAGGAGGTCTGAACGTGGACCTGGCCATGCCCCCAGGGGCCAAGGAAAGCACCCATCTGTCCACTCTTCCCTCTACCCCACGGTTCCCTACCTGGACTCTGGGGCTGACGTGGCTTCATGCACTCAGCAGCGCCATCATTAAACGTTTAGGAGGGCCTCCTCTAACCACCGCTGGACCTGCAGAGTCAGCACAAGTCTGCAGGACACGCGTGGACAAGGCTGATGGATCACGGCCTCCCACGAGGAAAGTGCCAGGCAAAGAGTCGGAGACACCAGGGATGGAGCAGCACTCACTGGGGGAGGCCAAGGCCGGCACCGGCCACCACCAAGGGCCACGAGGGCCTCCCTCCCCACCCCAAGGGCAGCTCACCCAGGAAGGTGAAAGCCGGCACCGGCCACCAAGGGCCTCTCTTCCCACCCCGAGGGCAGCTGCGATCACATTTCCCATCGCACCAAGAGACCCCTGCATTGAGCACAAACCTTTCCAACCTTCAAATCAATGAAGAATCACAACATGGACATTCCCTCAATCCATATGGCCAGCCCACAAAACCGACATGCAATCATCACATGCATTTCCTGTGGGAAAGTCAGTCTCAGTCCGAGGCCTCGCGACAGGGGTAGGGGAGCATCATGGGGAGAGGCCCCAGCCTGGCTCCTCCCCCCACAGCTCCTCTTCCCTCTGCTCCTCACGCCACCCCTCCCCACCCCCTCCTAGCTTCAGAGGCTGCTTCCTCAAATTCTTTCCCCTTGATGAAGTCATTCATTCCCCAAATACAAAGCAATTAAAGGCATGAGAGCTCAAGAGAAAATCCACACCGTGGCTTGTGTTTTAGATTCTCTTAAGTTTGAGAATAACCAAGCAAGAATCTTTGGCATCTGAATGTGGTCTGAAGGCATCTGAGCAGAAGGCCTGGCCCCAGCCCGGAGTGGGTCATGGGTGTCTCCGACATCTTTGTAACTCTGCATCAATTATTTTGAAACATCACTAGCAGAATAGAGCCATGTGAATAGTTACTTTTCTGTTAAAAGTAGAAAAGACTGCCTCAAGGAACATCCTTCCAACAACGACTTTCTGCATCGAGCCTTTGAGGCACAGGCACGGCCCCCGGGCCCACCTCCCTCATCCTTGCATCATAAAGCGGCGAAGACCGTGTGGAATAAAGTAAGTGAAGGAGTCAGTCCCTCACAAAACAGGCTCCAGAAGCCACAGCCACTCTCCCAGCGTGGGAGCCAAGTTAGAGACCCAGAAACCCCAGCGTTCCCAGGGAGGAGGGCAGAATAATGCCATTTCCCCCTAGTTTAGGGAGACAGCACCCCACATCCTCTGGTCTCAACAGAATGGTTAGAATGAATCCACCACACACAGAAAGTGGGCTAAGGGCTTACTAAGACACCCATTTAAATACCCGGCAAAAACACGTTACAGGAACACACAGGTAAGTGAGTTTCTCCTATTATCCATGAAATATTTAGAAACAAATCCAGCAAGCAATCTCTTTGCAATCAAAAGACCAATTCAGAGTTGCAGATTAAACATCAAGATACAACTGAACCCTTACTAGACCAAGAACAAACCAAGTTCCATGGAAGTATAATCATGTCACCACTTCCCAGTCGAAGGAAGCAGCAGTGGTCATCTGACCAGCTGTTCACTCGTGGGTCAGTGAACGAAAGGCAGTGCTGTTCAGGAAAATGACGACATGTTAACCTGAAAAGGGCAAAATCGCAGAGGCTGGAGGGACCTTCCAGGTAACCCAGCACCCTCAGTGGACAGAGGACCCCCTGGGGCCACAGAGCCCAGAGCTCCAGTGCATTCGGAGCAAGTACTCAACTGCAACCCTCATGTCCCAACGGGCCCTTTTTTAAGATTCCGGATGTAAATGCGGTTGTCATCCTGCTTTTGAGGAGAGGGGACGAGCTGTGTTTTAAGCATGAACAGACTTTCCTCCATGCACTGAGGATGCACTGTGGGGGACAGTGCTGCCGCCGCCTCCCCAGTCTCTGCTCAGTGTGGGACAGGGGGAGCTCATCCATCTCCTGTGTACACCTCAAGAGGCCGGGTGTGCAGGAGGGGGCTTCCAGGACTCTCTCTAGGCCTTAGCAGGGCAGGCAGTGCCTCATGCCAGCGGGCATCCAGCGGCAAGGAGGTCTGCACTTCATTCCCCGGGCCCAGCTCCAGGCAGAGGGGAAAGAGGAACCTGTATCATAACTAACATGTATTTATGGGCACACAGAGACCCTGTAGTACAAGGCACAGAACTAGAAGGAATCGTGGAAATAAGAGGGAAGACATTTGGTTACGACCGGCAGAGCCACCCCAAGCCTCTGCACTTCCTACTGGAACCCTCAGTGACCAGGTTCCTCTGGAGTCACTGCCGCTGCCTTGCCCAGCTCATGTCAGGGCAGATGGTGACACAGCCTCAGCACAACCTCCCACTCCTTCCTCAGCCAGCCCAGGGGATGAGCTGCTAATAAGAGTGTCCCAAAGCCTGAATGTGGGAACATGGAGGTGACTGAGCAGCAAGTGGGACGGCCACGACAGCCCAGGGTGTGCAGATGCTCCGGAGCCACCCGACAGCCCTTTCCACCTTAAAGACGACGGCCCAGGGTGTTCGGATGCTCCGGAGCGACCCCACAAGCCCTGTCCACCTTAAAGAGGACGGCCCAGGGTGTGCGGATGCTCCCGTGCGACCCCACAGCAGCCCTCTCCACCTTAAAGAGGGTTTCCGGATGCTCCTCAATGACCCGACAGCCCTTTCCACCTTAAAGAGGATGGCCCAGGGTGTGTGGATATTCCTGGGTGCCCCAGAGCGCTTTTCACCTTAAGGAGATTTTCACAGTCTCATTTCATTCTCCAAACTATTCAGTGAGGTTGGAGGAGTATCGTTGTGGACAAACACTGATTGGCACCAAGTAAGGGCAATTTTATAACCACGTCTCAACCATAAGAGAATCAGGTCTTTGGCCATCTGGTCAAAGCTTTTTCTGTAACAAAGTTGGATAATTAAGTTGAACTTAGGTTTTCCAAAGCTTGTTACAGAAACCACATCTTCCCAGGTGTGGCTCTGTGGTGTCACGTGCACACATGGGTAGCCAGCCTTGCCAAGACTCATGGCACGTTACATGTTCACCTGAGAAGGCTGCTCAGTCAATCGTTGAGGGCTCTGGCGTACTCTGAAATGAATTTGCCACTTCAGCCTACACTCTTTACTCCCTTGTTTGGTTAAGAAAAACCAAAAGGCAGAATTTGTTTTGGCCAATCGCCTGCTGCACCCAACTGTAGAGGTTTTAATTATAGTACTTTCATTGCATCATAGAAAGCAAAGTCATACAGATAAACTCATTACCACTCCAAAGGTTCAGTAAATCTCTAGATAATCAGGCAAAAATTTTAGGAAGCTACATTAAGGTTTACAACACTCAAAATTTAAAACTACATCCATGCTTCAAAAACCACCATTCCCATTTTAGATGTCCAAATGCATATGTCAAAGTAAGAAACGTGCTAAGTGCATTTTTTGTAATCTTACGGAGAAACTGCCGCTTTAAAACGGCACTAGTTCCTGGCTCCAGATGGATGTGGTGGGTTGGCTCACTCAATTTCAATTCTACCTGAAGCTGGGAAACTAAAAATGCATTCCCAGACTCCAGGGCACGAGAGAATTCCCACTTCTGGAAACAGCCTGGAATGCAGACTTGTGGCAGAGACTTCCTTCCTGCCCACCCTAACTGTCCTCTGTGGAAGGCAACAAAGTCTACCCCGTAAGCAGAACTGCACCACGAAGGACCATTTCAAGGTGGGAGGCGCCCACTGCCCTGACTGCAGGCCTGCCAGCATCTCAGGGCCAGCCGAAACTGTTCTCTCCTTCACAGGGAAGGGGGAACAAGGCCAGGAGGAAGCGGCTGGGGACGCAGGCGATGGGGTGGCTGATCGGGGATCAGAGGTTTCCTCAGAGGCTGCCTGTTCTCCAGAGGGGCCTCAGGCTCGGGTAAGGAGAGAACGGGAGGAACCAAGATTTGGCTAACACGCGTTTTGTTCTGATTGATCAGTGGGAACCGGCAGTTTAGCTAATCACTTATGAGGCAGAGAATGGGTGTTTGAAGTCCTGACTCTGGCCTTGTCCTTGGTAAAGGGTCACCTGCAAGTCAGCCTAAGCCACATGGGAAGGGGCTTTTTGCAGTAAATAAGGTCGGGGTGGGGGCGGGGAATGTCTTAACCATCACTGTTTACAGGATTTCAGGACTCAGGCAACGTTCAGTATTGTCACACACCAAGGTTTTTACAGTCTGAAGAAAACTCCTGCAGTCCTAAAGTGTCAGTTCTCAAAGCCCTTAAGTTCCTCCTGCTGATTCTGATTCCCAGAGGGTCTCCGCTTCTTGCACCGAACCCCAACTTGCACAGGCACCTGTGTCTTCCTCTTGCAGCAAATGCAGCTGAGAAGGCTGTGGCTCTGTGGCAGTAATGATACCATCGCAGCCCTAACACCACAGCAGAGCAATGGCTCTGGCCTGAATGTCTGTCCCCAAAACCTCACGCACACTGAAGCAATCTCCGATGGGATACGTTAAAAGGTGTGGCCTTTGGGAGGCCTCGCTCTCAGGACCGGGGTTGGTGTCCTTGTTGGAAGGCCTGAAGGAGCCCTCCTGCTCCTCCGCCACGTGAGGCCCAGTGAGATGTTGCCGTCTGTGAGCAACAGGTCCTGGGGCACCAGATCTGCAGGCACCTTGACCTCGGACTTCCCAGCCTCCAGAGCTGTGAGCTACAGATCACCCAATCTACAGCAGCCCAGACAGTCATGTTACAACATTAGCCACTTTCTCAGTGGGCCAGAGGCCTCCCGTGAGCCACCACCATAAAGCAAGAACTCCCTGGAGAATGGAAACGGGGTTCACAAGGAATTCTACCCAGAACCAGGGTGTCGATCCTTTTTCGCAGAAAGATAGCTGGGCCATGGCAGGAAACTACAGGGTGGGTGAGGCCGGACAGCAACATGTCACCTGCTCGTCTAAGCTTCAGTCTCCCGCCTCTCAACACAACAGTGGTGATAACACCCCTCACCGGAGCCGTTGGGGGAGGCAAGAGTGCTGGGTGATTAACAATTGTTAGCTCCATAGAAATTAGGCAAAGAATCCACCCTACGTCTTATAAAACCAAACCAGCCCAGGAATTCCACATCACCACTAATTTGCACGGGAAAATGCTGGATTATCATATGTAAGTTCTGGCATGTCATTTGTGTTAATAAAGTCTGCAGAGTTTTCATATACTAAGTATATAAAACAGGAAAATAAATCATGCAATTTGGAGGCTGAGGCAGGAGAATCACTTGAGCACAGGGGGGCGGGGGTTGCAGTGAGCCGAGGCTGCGCCACTGTACTCCAATCTGGGTGACAGAATGAGACTCCATCTCAAAAAAAAAAAAAAAAAAAAAAAAAAAAAAAAAAACCAACCATGAGATTTTGCTGCTTCATACTAGTAATGTGGGCAGATTCTATACCCCAACCCTTATTCAAAGGTCGCCTAACACTGACTCAGGACCTCTGTCTCTGATGTGCTTGAAGTTTTAATCCTAACACGTCATGTGTTAAAGACCACTCCCCCAGGAGCTCTGAACAAGTATATCAGGTATACCTGGAACAAGACCATACTGTGATCGAAATCTAACTTTAAAGACCCAAATCATAGAACCACAGAAGACACTGTTTCTGTCCAACTATCTGTTCTGCCATCGTTTGTGTCTATTTCCCACAAACCATCTCATTATAATTTAGGGCACACAAAAGGCTGATACAACAGGGTTACTTTTCAAAGGTCTGGAGGTGAATAGATACAATGCATTAACTTCCTATTGCTGCTGCAACAAATTACCACACACGCAGACCTCCTCTCACAGCCCTGAAAGTCAGGAGTCCCAGGGCTGAAGTCAAGGGGTCAGTAGGCTGCATTCCTGCCTGGAGTCTCCCAAATCAGAGGCCACCATGCAGCTTGGCTCACAGCCCCACACCCCTCCGACCACTGCCCCAGCCTCAGCCCCACACCCCTCCGGCCCGGCACCCCTCCAACCACTGCCCCACCCTTGGCCCCAAGCCCCTCCGGCCCCAGCTCCCTCATCAGCCCCACAACACCACCCCACCCCCCAGCCCTGCCCTCAGCCCCACACCCCCTCTGGCCTCTACCTCATCCTCAGGTCTCCTCTGAGGCAGACCCTCGTACTCCCTCTCATCAAGGCATGTGTGTGAGGACACTGGACCCACCTGGACAATCCAGGGTCCTCCCCCATCTCACTGTCTGTTACGCAGTCACATCTCCAAAGCCTCTTTTGCCATGTAAACTTCATTACACTAACAAGCATTTAACAAGTCCATTATAATGACGTAAAAATTGGCATTGTTTTCCTCCTAATGAACACATCAGTCACCCATGCAACCTATAAATATTTGACTATTAAATATACAATACCATAGGAGACAAAGATGAGGAAGGCAGTTGCTCCCTGAAAGACGAGTGGACCCTAGATGGAGGGATGAACACATTCGGAACAGAATCAATGTAACTCAACATCTGAGTCGGAGAGGCCAAGCAATAAGACTTTCAAAAAAGCAACCAGAAAGTAAGTACAGTGTGCCTGTAGTTCACAGCTGAGCCTGGCGTCATGAGCGCAAGCGTGCGGACACGCACCCTGGGCCCAAGTTTAAGATCAAATATAAGGAGCTTTCAACTTTAGTATTTAACTAGATCTTATTACAAAACAGCTTCTCTTGATTATAGTTTTTATCCAAAAAGTTCTCTAATTAAATTAATTTTCCCCTAAAAGACATTTGTCAATCTATTGTCCCATATAAACTAAATGGGTATATTAAAGAAAAAAGACAAATGTTTAATTTAGGGGGTTTGCCTATGACTTGGATAAGCATGATTTTCTTCTGGCCAAGCAGGGAGAAGCCAGACCATACTGGAGCGAAGGAAAAGCACAAATTTCCACTCTGACCTCGGCTGGGCACCCGAGTTTCTGTCAGAAGTGGCTATGGTGCTTCCCACACACCAGCCTCTGATAAAACTCAGCCCAAGGGTGCGGGGAAAAGGCCATCTACTTCCGAAAGATCTATGAAGTGCAGACACATCAAAAGCTTCAGAAGACTATAAAGCACCAAGGAGACCACTGCAACCTTGGAGTTTACAGAAAATGGTCAGCATCATGCGTGCCTGAGGTCCAGGGTCGGCTCCCAGCTGCCGCGATGCCGTGAGCGCAGCCCTGGCTTCCCCTCTGATGCAGAGAGCTGGTCACTCCGCCGGCTGCACTCAGAGCTCAGAACCTTCTAGATGAAAGCAACGTGTTCCTTTTAAAATGGGGAACGGGGGCAGCAGAACTGAAGCTCTACGACTATCTCAACTACTGGGTTTCAGGGACACGTTAGGAAATCGTGAGACTCCAAATCTCAATTTCATACAGATTCCAGATTCACTACAGGTTCCAGAATTTCCTGAAACATTCTTTCAATTTATCACTCATGATTCCCTTGCCCAAGCTAATAAAATTCCTTACAGAAAAACTACCATAAGCACCACAACAAATAAGATCAACTGATGCCCGCCCTTCGCACCACATAAACTGTTACTCACACAAGACTGTGCTGGAGAAAGCTCTCAGCTTAAGCCGAATCTGTGAAACTTTATTTTCCCCATTTTAGATGGAGTGTGAAGACTGTCAGCAAACCAGGGCCCCAATATGAAGCAGAGAACAGATTCCTGACGCCTGCCTGAACATTTCATTGCCACCTCTGTCTTAGATATTGATCTCCCTCAGAACTACTCAATCACCCACATTTGCAGGTCACTTAACCAGCCACCAGGATAACATAATTATGCAATAAAAATGCCTTCTCAGGGCTATGATACTCAACAAGGAAGCTCAGAAGGCTGGGTAAGCCCAAGAAAGGAGGAAGCGTCCTCCAAACAGACAAAAACCAAAGAAAACCGGGCAGAGACTCTCAGGAGAGCAGAAACGGAGCCCACTGCAGCCTTTCAGGCCGTGCCATTTCCACATATGCATCCTGCTGGGCCCATCTGAAAGGTCCCACTTGCGAGACGTTCCCCCCCACTTCCGGCTCCTGTAAGACTCTCTGCAGCCCCACTCCACGCCGGGGTCCGACTGTGCAAGTCTTCCTGGCGAGAACCCCCGGAGCCTGCGCAGCGTGGAGACCGGGAAGCACCAAAGATACAGAAACCCACGAACCCGTTTCTCCTCGCGCTGCTTTCTGGGTTCTAAGTTGTCCTCAGAACGAGTCCTGCATAAACCCTGGGCTGGGGTGCCAGCCACGGCCCAGCAGCACCTGGCTCATGGGCTCCACCCACCCCCCCAGAGGACCACTGAGGCCCCAGCACGCTCTGTCCGAGGGGGAAGACACCAGTCACAGCCACACAGCTCAGGGCACGGCCACTCGCCCCGCTGCCGTAATTACCTGCTGTGATCTGAATTCTCATTGGTTGGGAGGGGATCTCACGGCCCCGCTGCCGTAATTACCTGCTGTGATCCGAATTCTCATTGGTTGGGAAGGGGATCTCTCGCCCCGCTGCGGTAATTACCTGCTGTGATCTGAATTCTCATTGGTTGGGAGGGGATCTCACGGCCCCGCTGCCGTAATTACCTGCTGTGATCCGAATTCTCATTGGTTGGGAAGGGGATCTCTCGCCCCGCTGCCGTAATTACCTGCTGTGATCCGAATTCTCATTGGTTGGGAGGGGATCTCATGGCCCCACTGCTGTAATTACGTGCTGTGATCTGAATTCTCATTAGGAAAGGGATCTCACTGCTTAAGCACTCTGCTGCCTCCTTGCAAACAACAAAAAATCCAAAACCCCTCTTAAAGAACGTTTCTATAACCTCAAAACAAGACCCAACCCGAGACCAGGGAAGCTACACACGCACATCTGACATCTGACATCTGGTGGGCGTCAGTGACGGACGCCACAGCTTCCGTGTGGCGTGTGAAGCTGGAGGCCTGTCATGGTGACTCAGGCTGGGGTCTGAATAGGGGCCTTCCAAGCAACTAGGCAGCCAGGACGCACACCCCAAACCCAAGTCCCTGCACTCATGTACGTGGCAGAAATGCTGCGTGGCCATCAACATCACTTAGGAACCAAGACCGATCTGTGTCCCGTGGCCCTTAACGTCCGTACATGCCTGGGCCCAGCACGGCCTGCACGGCACCCTGCTCACCTCGGTGGGGCTCTCCTGCCAAGGAGGATGGCCCTGAAGTCCGCTGAGATTTCCAAAGCTCTACAAAGTCGTCCTTCCTCCTGCTTATTCAGAAGGCCTAAAGCCTCGAAGACACCAGTGAGAACTGACCTGCCTCTTTTAAGGCAGCTCAAACACCTAAACACAGGAACGGTCCTCAGCTGAGCTGCTGGACCTCTGCCCTCGAGAGCAGCTGATAACCCACTGGGCTAAGAAGGCACAGACTTCATTATCCAGAAGCCAGTGGTGCTCACGTCTGCATTCCAGGAGCCGCCTACATGAGTCCCTCCAAGACTTCCAAGTCCCACTTGATTTTTTTCATTGTATCCCTCTATAACATCAGAGACGTTATATCTTAAATGGTATCTATGAGATCGTCTCTACCTTTATGAGCACGTATGCTCCCTGACTTACCACGTGGCTAAACTGTTCTGATAAACCCAGCATAAGCTGAAAATATCCTAAATAGAAAGTGCATTTGACATAATAGTTTCGACTTACAACGGGTTCATCCAGAGGCAGCCCATCTCGGCCCAAACGATGCAATGAGTGTGACTAGTTCACGCCATAAGGTTGAAAAATCACAAGTGTAAACATTGTGAGCCAGAGACCATCTGTATTGCGGCTTCTGTCTTCAGAGACAATGGAAACCTCTTCTTAGACAAGAATCACAATTTATAATCTTCAAAATGTTAAACTAAAATTAGTTTAACAATCTACAGGTTCAAACAAAGCCAAAGTAGGCCCACAAGGCCATTTGTGTCATTCGCTAAGACGTACGACTCTGTAATAACCCACACCACAGCCCCTCAGTGTGGGTCCCAGAGGTGGCTGAGGCTTGCGGCTACAGACACCGTAATGAAACCAAAATCGGAGTCCGCAGGTGCGGTCAAGTCATATGACTTCTCCACTAGAATATGCACAAATGTTCATCAGCAAATCTGGTCTTTGATCTACCTCCCTCTCATAACCTAAAAAGGAACACACACACCACACACACAGCCCCAACACACACACAGCCCCCCCACACACACCCCCACAGCCCCCCCCACACACACCCCACACACACAGCCCCAACACACACACAGCCCCCCCACACACACCCCCACAGCCCCCCCCACACACACCCCCACAGCCCCCCACACACAGCCCCTACACACACACACACACACAGCCCCTACACACACACACACACACACAGCCCCTACACACACACAGCCCCCCCACACACCCCCCCACAGCCCCCCCCACACACAGCCCCCCACACACACACCCCCACAGCCCCCCACACACACCCCCAGCCCCCCCCACACACACCCCCCCCACACCCATCCCCCCACACCCACACACACACCCACACACCCCCCCACCCCCCCCACACACACACCCCCCCACACACCCCCCCACACACACCCCCCCACACACACCCCCCCCCCCCCCCCACACACACATCCCCCCCCCCACACACACATCCCCCCCCACACACACACATCCCCCCCCACACACACACATCCCCCCCCACACACACACATCCCCCCCCACACACACACATCCCCCCCCACACACACACATCCCCCCCACACACACACATCCCCCCACACACACACCACTTCAAAAACAATTCGTACTTGCATTCAATTCTGGGCATTCGGAATAGACCTAATGGGGGATAAACCTCTCCTCCAACCCATTGCTTAGTCTTCTTAGAGGATGAAGGATTTTACATACCACGAGTCAGCATATAAAAGATCTTGTATAGAAATATACTTGCAAGTGGTTCTCATTACAGTGATTTGACTAATATACAAAGGACCCCAACACATGGCACAATGTCTATTAGAAGAATTTGTTCCCCTAAAAATCCTAATATCTACACAGAAGAAAACCCTATAAGCATGATTTTGTCATCACTTTACCAGTATAGTCATATAAACAAAAGGAGTATCACAAAAGCAAAGGGTAAGACCACGTTTGGTTTTTATGACTCGCAGTTCTAAATTTAATATGAAATTGCTAAAACCACCAAGACAAACATGACTACAAAAATATTTAATGATCTTCACCTAAATTCAAGTCACCATTCAACCACCAATACCTCTGCTCTCCTTACAGGAACTTTCCAAAAGTAAATTCTGGAATTAACAGGACAAGTTTTTTCTGGTGATGGAAATTAGGAAGAAATTGGTTGAAGGCTGTTCCCTGGCTGTCAGAAACTTTTTCTCAATAGTATTTTGTAAAATAAAAGCATCAAATAGATCTTTACATTCACTTACAATCTATCAAACAATACTGGAGCAAGCTTGAAATACTAGCCACATCCTATCAGGGCTGACTAACATTCAATCAGCATCAGTCTCTCCTTTCAGCATCCACAGCTCATCTTCTCAAACCCACTTAAGATTTCATAATTAACTCAATTAAAAAACAATGTAAGTCATCTCCTTTATCTTTGACATGAAGGGCTAATTTCCCCCCAAAATAGTTCCTCTTTCCTTGATGTGATTTAGTCTGTGGTTAGAGTATTTAACAGGATAACTTGTGTTTCTTTCCTTCTTAGAAAATAAAATACATCACCTTTCCAATATCAAAAACACTAACTGATAATGCTATAGGTTAACCAGGTCAAAAGCATTTTTTAAGAAGTTAAAAAGAACCTAACTGCATCTTTGGATCTTATGTGAGGCAATGTCCAGGGTCACTGGGACCCCTGCTTGGTCAGTGCAGCCGGGTACCAATTAGAGACAGAAACCCAAGCGTTCACTCAAAGCCCCTTCCCAGCGGTTCTTCCTAGTGGAAGCGAGGGGCACAAAGGAATGCGGCATTCCACCGAGGGCTTTGGGGACAGGCTGCTTGAGAACATCAAAGTGGCTCACGTCCCCCAAATATAAAGCCAGTGACTGCTCCCAGCTTCAATGCAGCACCGTCCACAGCAGCCAAGATCCGGAATCACCTGAGTGCCGGTCAACAGGGGATGAAGGGAATGTGGCCTGAGCATACACAGGAGCAGTACTCCACCACACAGAGGAGAGAGCCCTGTCATCCACAACAGCATGGAGCTGGAGGACATTACATTAAGCAAACGAGCCAAGCACAGAAAGAAATGGTGCATGTTCTCACTCATGAGCAGGAGCTGACAGCAGATGTCATGGAGGCCAAAAGTAGGTGGTCAGCAGGGCCCACTCATAAGCAGCATGGGGAGAGGCTGGTAAGGGGCACAAACACACAGCCTGACAGGAGCACAAGATCTACTATTGATAAACCAGCAGGGGAATGTCAGTGGGTCACCTACTGTGTATTTCAAAACAGCTAGGAGAGAATAACTTGAATGTTACTAGCACAAGGAAAAGAAAATGTTTAAAGTGAAAGACATCCCAATTACCCAGATTTGATCAATATAGGGACGTATCAAGGTATCACATGCACCCTGAAAATATGTACATATATTATGTATCAACAAAAACAAAAATAAACCAATGACAGAATCGTTTGCGAAGCAAGTGCAGGTAAGAACGGGGAGCCAGACATGGTGTGGCTGTGTGTCCCCACCCAAATCTCATGCTGAACTGTAACCCCCAGTGTTGGAGGTGGGCCCTGGTGGGCGGTGACTGACTCATGGGGGTGGTTTCTAACCCCCCAGTGTTGGAGGTGGGCCCTGGTGGGAGGTGACTGACTCATGGGGGTGGTTTCTAACGCCCCAGTGTTGGAGGTGGGCCCTGGTGGGAGGTGACTGACTCATGGGGGTGGTTTCTAACCCCCCAGTGTTGGAGGTGGGCCCTGGTGGGAGGTGACTGACTCATGGGGGTGGTTTCTAACCCCCCCGTGTTGGAGGTGGGCCCTGGTGGGAGGTGACTGACTCACGGGGGTGCTTTCTAACCCCCCAGTGTTGGAGGTGGGCCCTGGTGGGAGGTGACTGACTCACGGGGGTGCTTTCTAACACCCAGTGTTGGAGGTGGGCCCTGGTGGGAGGTGACTGACTCATGAGGGAGGTTTCTAATGGTTTAGCACAATCCCAAGTGCTGTCTCATGATAGTTCTCATGAGATCTGGTTGTTTGAAAGTGCATGGCACCTTCCCCTTCACTCTCTCTTTCCGGCCATGTAAAGACGTGCCTGCCTCCCCTTCACCTTCCACCCTGATTGTAAGTTTCCCCAGATGTAGAAGCCTGTACAGCCCACAGAACAGTATGCCGATTAAACCTTTTTTCCTTATCAATTACCCAGCCTCAGGTAGTTCTTTATAGCAGTGGAAGAATAGCGCAGGCCGCAGGACCAGCAATGTTTTCCTTCTACCCAGCGGCCATCAAGGTCCCGCACTCTAGCTGGTTTTCCGAAGCCTTTGCCAGAGCACAGACTGTTTTTGGGAAACTAACTTTCCCCATCTCTGGCAAACCAGATGGGGCATCCTATTTGTCTCTTACCACCTTTCTCAGAGAAACCCCACCTCTGAAACAGCCTCCCACCAGGGCCTCTTTAGCAGCAGAAAAGCTGAGCATTCCTTGCACTTCCCTTGCTCTGAACAATTAAACATCTTAAGCTTCCTTTTTTTCCATCTTCCCCACTCACTGAAAAATCATCCGATGCTATTTTCCTAAGGCACACACGTAGGAAAGCAGTGCCATGAGAGCAGGGGCTCTTGTTCTCCCAGATCTGAGCCTGGCCCTCAAACACCAGCTGAATTCGTACTAACATGATATTCAGAGGCAGAAATGCAAATATCCCCACGACTTCAAATACCCTAGGATCTAACAGGCCCAGTGACCCATGTAACTATGGTTTGTGCTGGGCCATTCAACTGGTGTCCGAATCCCTGTCCAAGTAAGCTCTTTAATTTCAAGATTTTCAGACAGCTTTTTTTTAAGGGATCTATTATAGTTAAAATCAAGAATAACCCAGGACGGGTGCGGTGGCTCACGCCTGTCATCCCAGCACTTTGGGAGGCCAAGGTGAGCGCATCACCTGAGGTCAGGAGTTCGAGACAGCCTGGCCAACATGTTGAAACCTCGTCTCTACTAATACGAAAAATGAGCCAGCCATGGTGACGGGCACTTATAATCCCAGCTACTCAGGAGGCTGAGGCAGGAGAATGGCGTGAACCCAGGAGGCGAGGTTGCAGTGAGCCAAGGTCACACCACTGCGCTCCAGCCTGGGCAACACAGCAAGACTCCGTCTCAAAAAAAAAAAATAAACCAATACACCCACTTAATTCTTCACCGATGTCAAATATATCAGCTAAAAGAAAAATAATATGAAAGCATGTGTTTACATTTCAATGTTGAATTTAACTATCTTTTAAGAAGATATGAAGATGGAAAGAAGTTCCCCAAGGATGGAAGGAGAAAAAGCACAGTTAAGGAAATTTTAAAACCTCAGGAGAAAAACAAGTGTGGGGTAAGACCTCAAGGCAAAATTTTTCTTTGCACTTTGATTTCAAAAGAACAGAGATGCCCAAAATATGAACCCTCCCATCTGCATCTTATATTCCTCTACGTCCTTTGAAAGGCTGGAGATGGGATCCCAGGTTCCAAAGGGCCCGGCCACAGCTCACATCAGGTGGCATCTTTCACAGCCGTTTACTCCGCCGACTGTGTCTAGAGAGCTCTGTGGCCCAATTTACACAAAAAGGTCCTAATTTACACACATGTTCATTGCTTTGAACAGAGTCTCAAGAAATGAGACAAATATTGACGCTCCACAGAAGCAAGTATTCTCTTCCGGAAAGTCAAGAAGTGTCAGGTTCCCATGAGCCAAGCAGCTTGGTTACGGAAAGCACTGGCTGACTTGCTGGTTTACTGTTAAATGCATGTAAAATTTTAAGGGATCCGGCCCCCCTCCCAGTGGGTGTGCACGTTGAGCTGGCTGCAGCAGTGATGAACGCTGACCACGTTCTTTCCTGCAGTTTTGCTTCAAGCAGAGCATCCCACACCCAGGAAGAGGTCACAGGACAGCATGGCCCAAGGTCTAGGACCGTTCTAAGGAGAGCTACAGGCTGACTGCCTCGTCTGCAAAAAACAGTCACTCATTTCAGGGGAAATTACCAGAGTTCATAACATGTGAATTTTTAAAATTCAGATTTCTAATTTCATCCCATTAGAACTTTTGAAGAACAGATGTGCACCTGCTCCAAGCCAGTGAGAGGACGCTCGGACAGTCCCTTACAGGTCCTCGGCCTCCGCCTCCCACCTAGAAAACGTCAGCTAGAGCCGATCACAGTGCAGTGCGATTTTCTATAAATAATGTGCACGCCTGCATCTGAGCTGAGATGTGAATGTCTGGAACGTGCCTGCCAGGCCCGGGAGGAACTGCAGCAGCTGTGGACACAAGCCCACTAAGGAATCCGATTTGGAGGGAACTCAAGGCACCTAAAACTGGTTCCACTGGTTTTTCTTGGCAAGGCTTGACCAGGCAAACAACTGCATTCGTCTCCACCCTGGAAATATGCGATTCCTTACCTCTCAATAATTGTCACTGTTTCTAATTCATGGTAATTGGGATGGGGACTTAACAGCAGGTAATTAGAGCAATTGCAGAATTTGCTACTGAATTACAATGGCAGATTCCTGAGAATGGAAGAACTGTTGCCCAGGAATGGAGTTCAACAGATCCTCTCCACACCCTGGTAAACATGGCATTTCGCACACCTGCTTTGGTCCCCCAGCCACCCTCCTGATCTCAACAGGTCTTCCCTGTGCCCCGGGAAACATGGCGTTTCCACACACCCCTGCTTTGGTTCCCCGGCCACCCTCCTGATCTCGGCCATCTGATGGCATCACTCCCCACAGCTGGAAACACCTGACCTCTTGTCACCCTCCCATCTGCCCTGCCTTCCTCCAGCCCAGGATATTCAGGGATACCCACATACAGGACCAGGAAACCAGGCATTATCCTAAACCAGTGCCTGCATTCAACGTCCTCCATGGCAGGACAGTCACCAACAGCCAACGCTCCCAGAACCTTCCACCTCAAAACAGGCACACATCTGGATTCAAGCTGACAACGCTGCATTCTCTTTGCCATGCACACATGGAGGCATGTCAGGTTCCACCTAAAAGGTATCACTGGGTTCCACGGTGGCTAGGAGCCCAAGCCGAGTCACACTTGGTGATCTCAATTCACCATCCACACAGAGAAGCCTGCAGTTTTCCTCCAGTGTATGGTGTGGATGATGGGTGCATTTCCCCTGGAGACTCGGAGACGGGAGCCTGGCCAAGGAGGCCAGAGTCACCCCAGCCCCCGCCAGGCCTGGACATGCACCTCTTTGTCTGCACACAGTACCCAAGTCTAACAGTGCCGGCTCTGTGGTGGGATCCGTCTCGGCCTGCAGAGGACCCGGGGCACAGGAACCATGCAGCCTGGCTGCAGCCAGAGGCCTAAGGGATCCCCCCACGAGGCTCTCCAGCCAAGGTGCCCTCACCACAGGCACAGCCGTGCAAGAGAACTGCCTGCTGAACTGGAAACGTCCCAATCTGCTCGGCCGACACAAAGACAACAGCCACCTACAGCTGCTGAGCCCCGAAACATGGCCACTGGGCCTGAAGGGCTGAGTCTTGAATGTGATCCATAAAGTTCCTTTCAAGTGTGTTTAGCTGTGTAATCAAATCTTTATTCTAATGAAATTTAAAGGAGCCTCTGGCTACGGGCTCCCTTGCCGGGTATCGCGGCTCCAGGGAGTAGGTATGGGAAGGAGAGGCCCAGAGCCTCTCTGCATTCTCCACACTGATCCAACACGTCATCATAAGGAAAAGCACTCCAGCAGGAGAGGTGTGCATGGGAAGAACTGGGTTGGCCCTGACACAAGCGTGACCCCCATGGCATCACAGTTGCCTCAGCCAAGAGACAAGAGACAATGACACCCAGCTGGACAGGCCACCAGATGTGATGACACAGCCGAAGCGCTGGTCCCACGCCAGCCAGAAACCACCAGCTGCTCGTCCCATGTGAAACAGGCAGCGCTGTCCCAAGCCCTCATTAAGAAAGGAGAATTAAGGAAGCAATTCCCGTGATTCCCACGACACACGTGACACTTCTCGGAGAGAGACACAGGCTTCACTGTGAAAGTGCAGAGGACGGTGCGGTCCCTAGGCGGGCTGCTTCTCCCAACGATCGGGGAAGAAATGAGATCTGTTTCCCTGTAGGAAAATCATTTGTACCGTGATTAGACAGAAGACAGAAGGTGGCTGATGTTATCAAATCACCAAGCACTGCATGGCTGCTTCTGCAAGGAGGGCCTGGAAACTCGCAGCCACCCGCATAGGGGCCACGGTGTTTACAATGGAGACACAGGTGACTATGAGGTCTGGCTTCCTCAGGGACGCTAAATTTGAACTTTCGCCACTGAGGAATCAGTCATTTACAGTCACTCACCCTCAATGCAGAAGAGGGCTCAAGACACTGCACCAGACTTCAACTCTCAGGGTTAGGGTCAGAGTCATCAAATTCACCAGTTTTACAAAACGTCTATTTACTTCGGATGCCAGAAGAGATGTAGGTTCATATACACACACACACCCGCCCCACACACACACACAGGGTTTGCTTAGCCTCTTCACCAGCGCATTTCACCGACAGATGACACATCCATGCCTCATCCATGGCAACACAGAAACCCACTTGGAAGACAGCCACTCCCACCAAGCTTCTTGACTTTAGTGTTTAAAATCTGCGTCTCATGCGTGAGATTACACTCCTCCAAACAGACATTGCGCCTGTGTCACTTCACCCAAAAGGGCTTTAGGAAACGACACGCAGCCCAGATGCCAGAGTTTGCCGGCCGTCTTACTCTAGCCTGATTCCTTTGTGCCTGTAGGGAGGCTCCACAGATACAGCCCGCTCACATTAATGACCACATGAGAAGCTCAGACCATAGACAAACTCAGTGCTGCATTTTTCCACATTTATCACCCTTTTGTTTTATCCTGAAGACGCTGAGAAAGGCTGGGGCA